>NC_000004.12:88012290-88163805 GCF_000001405.40 Homo sapiens
ACTTGCCCAGGGCCGCAACTATTAGATGTTGCAGTCAGGATTTAATTCCAGGCACTTTGTGTTCAAAGTGTTTCTCATCCACTGTGCTATATGCCAGTAGTGCCCAAACCTAACTTTAGCCAGCAATTG
This sequence comes from Homo sapiens, assembly GCF_000001405.40. NCBI lineage: Eukaryota > Metazoa > Chordata > Mammalia > Primates > Hominidae > Homo > Homo sapiens. The sequence goes on from NC_000004.12 coordinate 88,012,420, forward strand.
TCTGCATCTCTTCAGTTTATGAACATTTATTTATTAGGACATGCAGGATAATCATACCAACACAGTCCGTGTATCCAGAATTCTAATTGATCTAGGGAGTGGGAGAGCCTGCCTCTCTATTTTTTTTAAATTGGTGTGAAATATACATAACATAAAATTGGCCATTTTAACCATTTTAAGTATATAATTGAGTGACATTAGGTAGATTTATTATATTATGTAAATGGACTTAACACAATTTATTTCCAGAACTTTTTTATCATCCCAAACAGAAACTCTGTACTCATTAAACAGTAACTCCCTGTTTCCCCACTCCCCCTTGCCCCAGACGCTAGTAACCTCCATTCTACTTCCCCTTTCTGTGAGTCTCCCTGTTGTAGCTACCTGATGTAAGTGAAATCAGACCATGTTTGATCTTTTGTGTCTGGCTTATTCACTTAGCATAGTATTTTCAAGGTTTATCCATGCGTGCAAATTCCCTTCTTTTTTATGACGAAATACTATTTAATTGTGTGTGTACATGTGCACACACAATGAAATACTATTTCATCATAAAAAGGAAGTTTGTACACATATATACACACACACCAAATTTTGTTTATCCATTCATCAGTTCATGGGCATTTGCGGTTTTTTTCCACCTTTCGACTGTTGTGACTTTCCGTTTATTTTTAATCTGAACTTTACTCCATCACTTCCTCCCTTTCCTTTTTTATTCGCACCATAATTTTGAACAAGCAGACTTTGTATTTTCATTACTCTGGGGATTTTTTTGAGGGAGGCTTGCTACCCTTTGGGGTTGTGGTAAGGTTGTGCCAGTAACAGAATTCATGCAGTAAAAAACATTCATGGGACTTTCTTTTGTGATAGGTACTAGGGATGCAGAGATGAATAATACAAGGTCTCGACCTTCAAGGAGCTCAGGGTTTAGTAGGGAAAACAGAGGTATAAGTAAGTCATTGCAATGCCAGGTCCCAGATATGGGAGGATTCCAGCAAAGAGAGGATAAGGCCAGGCACAGCCGCTCATGCCTATAGTCCCAACACTTTGGGAAGCTGAGATGGGAGGATCACTTAAGCCCAGCAGTTCAAGGCTACCCTGGGCAACATAGTGAGTGGCAAAAAATACAAAAATTAGCCAGGCAGGGTGGCACATGCCTGTGGTCCCAGTTATTTGGGAGTTTGAGGTGGGAGAATCACCTGAGCCTGGGAGATTGAGGCTGCAGTGAGCTGTGATCACGCCACTGCACTCCAGCCTGGGTGACACAGTGAGAGGTGAGAGCCTGTATCTAAAAAAAAAAAAAAGAGAGGATCAGATTTACCTGGAGAGGTCAGAGAAGGTTTCCAGAGGGAGTAAAACTTGAGCTTCATTTTGAAGAATGAGAGGGGAATACAAGGAGGGAAAAATAATAGGAACAAGACCTGTTCCTGTTACAGCAAACCTGTAACTCCCACCATGGAATGGGCACGTTTTCCTGTAGACATTTGGAGCCAGTGTGGGCTTCAAGCCTAGGGGGCTGATATGATCATTTGTCAATCTGAAGATGACTCTTGGAACAACGTAGAGGATAGGGTGAGGTGGGTAGGCTGGTGGCTGACAGACTAGGTCAGGAGAGGGCTGACCAAGAGGAGGAGGGGTGACGAGGGCTGGAACTAAGGCATATGAGCTGGGATGGAAAGAAGCTAGATAGAAAGGAAACAAAAACCATCAGAACTGTGGAACCAACTCCATGGGAGGGATAAGAAGAGGGCCTATTCTAGGGTGAAACCCAAATTTCTGGCATGGTACCATTAACCCAAACAGAAAGAGGAGATTTCCAGAGAAAGAAAAGCAAATTTTGCGGGAGGTGAGTGTGAGCTGTCTAGAGAATATGCAGGTAGAACTACATGTTAACTGTAACATATACTTGTCTGCACCTCAGGAGATGGCTGATTAAGAATTCAGGATTCAGGCCAGGCACGGTGGCACACGCCTTTAATCCCAGCTGCTTAAGAGACTGGGGCGGGAGGATTGCTTGAGCCTGGGAATCCGAGATCAGCCTGGGCAACATAGCAAGACACTGTCTCTAAAAAAAAAAAAAAATTCAAGATTCTGGAGTCAATATTACTTAAGGTAGCAACTGTCTATTCTATAGAAAATGGACAAATATAGATAAAAAGCCACTTCCCTTTCTAAAAGTGTCCCTGCAATTCAAGTGAATACTAGGAAGGATTGTGTTCATTCTTCTAAACAAGACTCACATGTATCTTAGCACAAAAAGAGGATTCTTTTATGATACAAATGCACTGAGAATTTGGTCAGGCTATCACAATGAACTGATAGTTCAGATGGATTTGAGTCTTTATACCACTCTGGAATCTGGACCAACTGGGCCTCCTAAGGCCATTTTGCAGATCTGGGCTTGTTTCTGAAGCTACAGACAGGCCTCTTCCAAGCACTCTAAGTGCTCCACAAATAATATTTCTGTTTCCCAGAACAACCCCACAAAAAGGTACTCTTACTCCATTTTTAGATGAGGAAGTGGAGGCTCATGATGTCAGGTAAGCTTTCTCAGCTCCCAAGTGGTTAAGCCCTCAGTTTAATGTCATTTGACTCCAGAGCCCTATGTTGCACCATGCCTTGATAATAGGCCATATGGGTTTCATGTATTTCAGATGGGGAAGGTTAGTGTGAGGTGAAAGATACACAATTAACCTTTTAACCATGGAACTGAAATATTTACAGATGAAGTGATACAATAGCTGGAATTAATTCCAAAATAATTGGGGTGGTACTGGTCCATGGCCTGTTAGGAACTGGGCCGCAGAGCAGGAGGTGAGCAGCAGGCTAGTGAGCATTGCTACCCCCTATCATATCAGCAGTGGCATCAGATGGGTGAGGATGTAAATGAACTAGGATTGGCATTGAGTTGATATTGTTGGATCTAGGTGATAGATTTATCATTATAATATTCTCTCTTTGTGATATTTCTGATATTTTCTAAAATAAAAAGTTGTAGTTATTTATTTATTTAGACGGAGTTTCACTCTTTTGCCCAGGTTGGAGTGCAGTGGTGTGATCTCGGCTCACTGTAGCCTCCGCCTCCCGGGTTCAAGCGATTCTCCTGCCTCAGCCTCCCGAGTAGCTGGGACTACAGCCTCCCGAGTAGCTCACCACCACACCCAGCTAACTTTTGTATTTTTAGTAGAGAGGAGGTTTCACCATGTTAGATAGGCTGGTCTCAAACTCCTGACCTCAGGTGATCCACCCACCTCGGCCTCCCAGAGTGCTGGGATTACAGGCGTGAGCCAGTGTGCCCAGCCAATAAAAAGTTTTTGAAAGGATTTAGATAAAATAGTTGGGGAAATGGCATTTTTGTTCAAAGCCAATTATTTATGTTTGGAATATCTTTTGTGCTTGGAGTTCTCCATTACAGAGTTCCCCAGTGTTCCTATTAATAAGTAACATTGAGCAGAGGAATGCACTGTTTAGATCAGCAGTCCCCAACCTTTTTGGCACCAGGGACCGGCTTCATGGAAGACAATTTTTCCACAGACCTGGGGTAGGAAGTGTTTGGGGATGAAACTGTTCCACCTCAGATCATCAGGCATTAGTGAGATTCTCATAAGGAGCAGGCAATCTAGATTCTTCACATGCGCAGTTCACAATAGGGTTCTCACTCCTGTGAGAATCTAATGCCACCCCTGATCTGACAGGAGGCGGAGCTCGGGCGGTAATGCTCACTTGCCTGCGGCTCACCTCCTGCTGTGGGGCCCGGTTCCTAACAGGCCATGGACCAGTACCCGTCTGCAGCCTGGGGACTGGGGACCCTGCTTTAGATGATGTACTCTGGCTTTGCATTCTGGCATTAGCTAAGCACCCTCTTAAAGGAAATTGGGTCTATACTCTCAGTCCGTGTTCTCCCTAACACCTGGAAACATTGAATACCTTCAATGCTGGGAAGTTAACTCCCACCACAACTAGAACAGCTATGGGAAAGACAACAGTTGATTTTGAAGAGTGTCACCAATTTGCACATGATTCCATCCTTAACCATTCTTATCCTATCAGCTCTGCCAAACATGGAGAATAGTTGGCTGCAGGACAGCTATTTTTCCTACTTGTAGATGCAACTATTTCTCACCCACCAGGATGTAAAAGGTCCCTGTACCCTAAGATTGGTCCTACATACACACCCAATGGGAAAATGAGATGAAAAATTTAAAGCAGTAAATATTTGAGGAAGTAGATAGAGTAATTTAGAAAAAGAAAATACACAGGGCCAAGCACAGTGGCTCACATCTGTAATCCCAGCACTTTGAGAGGCCAAGGTGAGAGGATTGCTTGAGCTCAGGAGTTTGAGGCCAGCCTAGGCAATGTAGTGAGACCCCACCTCTACAAAAAATTAAAAACTTAGTTGGGCTTGGTAGTATGTACCTGTAGTTTAAGAAACTTGGGAGGCTGAGCTGAGGCAGGAGGATTGTTTGAGCCCGGGTGGTCAAGGCTGCAGTGGGCCATGATTGTGCCAGAGTACTCCAGCCTGGGTGATAGAGTGAGACTCTGTCTCAAACAAAAAAAAAAACAGAGACAGAAAAAAAGAAAGAAAATATATGGATGTATATCATATAAAAATATAAATAAGGGAGGCCAAGTGCAGTGGCATGCCTGTAATCCCAGCACTTTGGGAGGCTGAAGCAGGAGGATCACTTGAGGCCGAGAATTCGAGACCAGCCTGGGCAACGTATTGAGACCTCATCTCTGCAAAAAATCAAAAAATGAGGCGGAAGGATGGCTTGAGCCCAGGAGATCAAGCCTTCAGTGAGCTGTGATCGTACCACTACACTCCAGGCTGGGTAACAGAGAGAGACCCTGCCTCAAGATAAATAAATTCATACATACATACATACATACGTACATACATACATACATAAGAAGACTTGTTTCTTTCCATTTGCAATGTTTCATTCAAAGGCTAGAATTAAATTGCCGTAGGCCATCACAAGTTTAGCTTGAATATTATTATTTTTTCAAGATGGAGTCTCACTCTGTCACCCAGGCTGGAGTGCAGTGGTGTGATTTTGGCTCACTGCAACCTCTGTCTCCCGGGTTCAACCGATTCTTCTGCCTCAGCCTCCCATGTAGCTGGGATTACAGGCGCCCGCCACCACACCTGGCTAAGTTTTGTATTTTTAGTAGAGACAGGGTTTCACCATGTTGGCCAGACTGGTCTTGAACTCCTGACCTCAAGTGATCTACCCGCCTCACCCTCCCAAAGTGCTGGGATTATAGGCTTGAGCCACTGCACCCAGCCTAGCTTGAAGAAAATTTGATAGGAGTTTGTTTTTTTCTATTTATAGGCCAAGCAATACCACGTATAAATATTAAGAATCATGGCTGTTCCTTAGTGCCTAGTTGTTTATAAACCATGGGAAAGAATGAAATCATTGACCAAATGAGACAGGGTAACAGTCTTCCCTGGGAGTAAAGAGACTAGCAGTCTCTATTGACATATATTTTAGGCCTGGCCTCCAAAATAAATTTACCCAAAGAAGTGATGTATTTGTGTCCAGGGCTACCGAGCCTAATCTTTGGCTGCCTCTGTGTTATTCTAAGTTGTAATTTTCCATGTCATCTAAATTTGTAATAATTCTTTAATATGATAGTGTTTCAGTGAACAAACATTCTGCTTGCTGCATTTCTTCTGAGTGAGTAATTCCCTGACAACTACCAGATCTTGGCAGAAGCAAAGTTGGTCATAAGTTATGCTCCACTCTCAGTGCTGGTGAAACGTATGATGCGTAACACAGTGTTTTTGAATTCAGTGCTGATTTTCCTAAAGGACATTTGGAAGGAAAAAAGAAAAGGAAAGGAAATACCCAAATTCAGGAATAGAACTTACATATTATTATAAGACTTAAAAAATACATGAACACTAATGATGAACTCATTTCTTCGAAGTAAAAGGCCTTATGCTATTTTTTCCCATTTCCCTATGTGGCTTGATTGTGGCGAAAGTGGCTGTGTGAGTTTCCATTATTGAAGGAGTTAAGGTCTGTGGAATCAAAGCATGAGACAACATGCAAGGACCAGGTTGGTTTCCATTTAACAGCCAACCTAATCTAACTGAAAGGATTGAGAGGTTTGTCTTTTTTGGAAAGTGTTAAGGTTCTTCCAAGTAACCAGCAATGTGACTTTACCACACTGTTCATTAACGGGGCTTTGGATGGCCACCATGTCTGCTGCTGGCTGAGTCCAAAACTGCGGTCACTCTCTCCAGCAAGCTCATGGAGGGTTACGTCATCTTCACTCAGCCAGCCCAACGCTTTTTCCATCTGCTAAAATGTAGAACATGGTTGTTGATTCTACTCTTTCTACAAAGAAAGAGAGGGAACATGGATGAGTTGCTGCTTTTAAAGATTATATGTTAATTGCTGTTTTAAAAATCTGCTCAGCTAAGCACGCTTAGTGTAATCAGTCACCATGGAGTTTTTTAATAGGACAGCTTCTGCTCTTACAGAGCAGAGTTTTTATGCCAGTAGGTTAGAAGCATAACATGTTTCTATATTGAAGTGATTCTCCAACAAGGACTTCTTTTCATCAGGGGTGACCTAAAAGTTATTACTTGAAATATAATTACATCATGTTCTTAACTGGGTTTAGTAGTAGGATAATTACAAGGTTGTATCCACCTCAAATAGGAAGAACTGATAAGTTTTGCACAATTATTTAACTCCTCTGTTAGGCCTTCCTTATTTCCTGTTCTCTTTTTAAAATTTGACTAAGATATTGCTAATGGGCTTGGGAGCCTATAAAATGATCAGAATTGTTGCCTTATGTTTTGCATGTTTGGGGTAACATTGGAGCCAGATGTACTCTTAAATAAAAGGTAGGCCTACAAAACCAGTTTCTCAGTTGCATTCAAAATGTGATTAAAAAAAAAAAAAGGAGAATCTCCCTTATAGGTGAACTTTTTAATTTGTGCTTTATTTTCCCTTTTGCCATTCATGAGATTTCTTAAATAAAATGATATCTTTTCTTTTCTTCATTATTATTTTAAAGGTCTCTGGGGAACAAGACTCATGGAGGAAAGCAGCACTAACCGAGAGAAATACCTTAAAAGTGTTTTACGGGAACTGGTCACATACCTCCTTTTTCTCATAGTCTTGTGCATCTGTAAGTAGAATATTTCCTTGCACTAATGGGAAAGTTTTGAAAAGATTTGACCTATCCAAATCATAATTAAAAGGAAGTGTGTATGCACCAGAGGGGCAACTGGGAAGTTACCTTCTTACCTTTGTTTTTAATTCTAATATTTTTATTTGGGCATTTGTTTATTGACTATCTTCCTATGGTAGAATGCAAGCTTTATAAGAGAAGGGACGTGATTTGTTCTCTGCTGTACCCCCATTTCCCAAAACTGCAGATGGCAACAGAAGGCTCTGAAAAATATATAAGAAAGAATTTTTCTAATTGTGACTAAATTGTGACCAAATGCTAAGTGACTGTGGACTTGCGTTTAACACAGGACGGGAGAGGCAAAGAGTTCAATTCCAATTTAGAATTTGGTCAAGTTCTCTTCTGCACTCTGGTAAACATTAATTAAAAATCAGCATTATCTGACCAGCCAGTTCATCGTCAGTGGTGGTGATTTTCACTATGAGATACGCGTGGCAACTTGCCAGACACCAAGAAACCAAGTTAGAGGATTTTTGTATTAGATTCCTTAACAATGAATACAGTATCACCATTATTACAGTATCATCATTATTGTCATACTATTATTATATCAGTTAACATAAAGTCTGCATAAGAATTGTTTCCAGAAAAATGACTTTCCAAATTTAACTTTCAGGAAATACAAATAATGCTACTAATATTGCTTTTATTGGCGTATACATGTAATATCCCCTTCTTTTGGATTTGGATATGTTGTGTCATTGCCTCATTTTAATTCATTATTTCTTCTCAATCTTTAATAATTGCTGGACTTTTACTCCACAAGAAACTTGCTATAGGCCCATCTCTTTCGTCTTCTTTCCTTCTTTCAGTTCGTCTTCCCATCCTCTGGTAGGGGGAGGGGAGGGATGCCTGAGCGAGAGACTAGCTGTAGGAACCATTTGTCTCAAAGTCCAGAAAGCCACAGGTGATGGATTTGTCCTCTGAATCAAAGGGCGTTCGATGATGGATTTCTGTCATGTCTCATCTAAAGTCTTCACGAGAACAGATGAGGAAGCAGTTTTATGACCCCAGAGCCTCCTACCAAACTCCTCTGAGAAAAGGTTTCCTTTTTTTTTTTTTTTTTTAAATTAGAGACAGAGTCTTGATCTGTTTCACAGGCCGGAGTGCAGTGGCACAATCATAGCTCACTGCAGCCTCGAGCTCCTAGGCTTCAGTGATCCTCCCACCTCAGTCACCCACGTAGCTGGGACTACAGCTGCACACCACCATGCCCAGCTAACTTTTAAAACATTTTTGTAGAGGTGGGGTCTCACTTTGCTGCCTATACTGGTCTCCAGCTCCTAGCTTCAAGTGATCCTCCTGCCTTGGAAGTTCTGGGATTATAGGCATGAGCCACTGCACCCAGCCTGGATGTGATATTTTTATGTTTTAAATTGTTAGAGTTTAGAAACTTGAGATTGAGTTTGCTGCCTGCATTAAAATGATGCTTAAACATTAAACTGCAGTGGCCTTAAATATTAACAAGTTGATTAGAATTACTAAGTTCTTTTCAAGCTTTACATATACAGACAAATTTCTTATGCAAAATAGAAGGTAACCCCTGTACGTAAGTCTAGAATTTCAGCAGTCCCCAAAACTGACTGAGCATTAGAATCACTCTGATTTTAAAATACATATGTGGTTTTCCGAGATCTACTAACAGAGCCTCCATAATGTAGCCTAGAGAAACGAGTTTTCAGATGTAGTGATAAATTTGGAAGGTAAGTCAGAGAAGTAAGCTGAAGACAGAGTTTTAGGAAATATGCCTAAAGTCACATAATGAATTGGTTTTCTTGTTTATTTGAGAATATTGTCGCTTTTTGTTCTTTTTCATGCAAATCACATTTTATTTCTTATGTGAGTAGCTATATATTTAAAAATTTTGTTTTTGGAATATTGTAGAATCTCTACTTAAGAAAGTATCTTAGCAGTCATATGGTCTGACCTCACTGAATGCTAAATTCTCTTTAAAACATCCGTCTCAGATGGTTACTCATACTGCCTCTGATTGAACAAGAGTCCCAGGTTAAGGGACTTACTTCTTTGAAATCGTTCATTTCATTTTTCTACAGCTATGTTAGAAAGTTCGTCCTTAGCAGTGAAGCCAGAGTCTATCTCTTATAACTTCTACCCAGTTGCACCCTCCAAGCCTACCTATACCAAGTATCTTTTTTCCACGTTGCTTTTCCAATTCAGCTCTTCGCAAGTTTGGAGACAAATACCTAATCTCCTCTAAGCCTTCTCCAGGTTAAGCCTTTCCAGTTCATCCAGCTGTTGATTATGTGATTGGAGACACAAGTTTGAGTAACTCCCATGATGGAAAGTCCCTCTGGTGAATGTTCTGTTCATCAGAGTCCCTAAGAAAGCACATGAGCCTCACCATGGTGAGTGGGGCCATGAGATTCCTAAACCAGACACTACACTGTGGCTTGTGCAACCTACCATGGCCAGACTCATGAGGCTGTTTCATCATATAAATAATTCCTTAGTCTCTTCACCAAAAACTGTGAAGCACTGTGTCCCCCAGCTGTATGTGAGCTAGCCTGGGACCATAGTGGAGGACTCCTCTTTCAACCCTGTTAAATTTCATCTTGTTAGGATCTGCCCATTTTTCCATTCTGTTGAAATTATCTTGGAACTGGATTCATTCATCTCACATCAGCTACTCCCCGAAGCCTCACAGTATCAGCAGAGTTATTATCTCTATCCATATCCTTGTAAATTATTAAACTAAAAAAGATTGGTCTAAGAACATCAGTCCATTAATCAAGGCTCTTTGGTTGGAGTTCACTTCATTATATTATCATCCAGCTCAGAGTGTTCATAAACAAGATGATAGGAAAGACTTTTCCAAATGCCTGTCTGAGTAATTCCCCCATTCCTGTGATCTGTGAGCTGTTGACCAGATTAAAAAGGAAGTGAGAATAACCAGGCAAGATTTACTCCTAGCAAAACCTTACTGGCTTCTAGTGACTGAGTCCTTTCCCTATTGCTTACCAGCTATCTTTTTAATTACTAGTTTTAAAATCTTGCCAGCAATGTCAATATCAAATGACCAAGAATATCAAACTCATTACTCTGTATGTAAATGAGATAGTGTACTTACCCCTATGGCTTAAGTATTAGGCTGTTCTTGCATTGCCCTAAATACCTGAGACTGGGTAATTTATAAAAAAAGAGGTTTGGCCAGGCACTGTGGATCAGGCCTGTAATCTCAGCACTTTGTCAGGCTGAAGCAGGTGTAATGGTGAGCCAAGAGTTCAAACTTAGCCTGGACAACAAGGTGAAACCCCCTCTCTGCAAAAAATACAAAAATTATCTGGGCATGGTGGCATGCACCTGTAGTCCCAGCCACCCAGGAGGCTGAGGTGGGAAAATTGTTTGAAGCTGGGAGTCAGTGATTGCAGTGAGCCATGATTGCAACACTGCACTCCATCCAGCCTGGGCGACAGAGCAAGACCCTGTCTCAAAAAATAAATAAATGAATAAATAAATAAAATAAATAAATAAATAGAAAAGAAAAAGAAAGAAAAGAGATTTATTTGCCTCATGGTTCTGCAGGCTGTAAGGGAAGCATAGCTCCAGCATCTGCTTCTGGGGAGGCCTCAGGAAGCTGTTACTCATGGCAGAAGGTGAAGCAGGAGCTTGCACATCATGTGGCAAAAGCAGGAGCAAGAGAGAGAGAATGGGGCAGGGAAGAAGCCCCACACTTTTAAATGACCAGATCGCATGAGAAATCACTCGTTACCTCAAGGACAGTACCAAGAGGATGGTACTAAATTCCTGAGAAATCCACCCCCATGATCTGATCACCTCGTACCAGGCCCCGCCTTCAGCATTGGGGATTATGTTTCAACATGAGATTTGGATGGGGACAACATCCAAACTATATCACCTTGCATAGTAGGTAGGGTTTTAAAAAGCAGTTTGGCACAGTAAGAAAAGTACAGATTTTTTTTGCATCAGACAGACCTGAGTTAAAATCCCAGCTTCACTGCTAACATGCTAGGTAAATGTGGGCAAGTTAATTAACATTTCTAAGCCTTTGTTTCCTCACTGGTAAAACAAGTATTTGGAAATATCATTGTGAAGATTAGAAATAATACATGAAAAGATCCTAGGATGCTGTCTGTCATACAGTAGTAGTAGTAAGAAGTTATTCTTGCCAAAGATTGTTGAGAATGGCAGAATTATCTCAGTTCTAAGAGCTATAGTTTCTAATTATTTGAGCCTAGACTCAGATTCATTTGGAGCAGCTAACTGCTCACCAAGAGCTTATTTTCCATCTTACCAATGAGGTTATGTGCCCTGTGTTTTTAAAATCAGTCTACTTAACCAAGAGAACAGAAATGACATGAGAATTAAGTAATCTCACTTTCTCTGTTATTTAGGATTTATTCCTACTCAAAACCTGAGAGTTGCTATGAATTCACCATTAAAGCACTTATTAATATACATGGGTTACTGTTATAAATAGCAATAGTATTGCTATTGTGTGAGTTAGGTGTTGAAGTTCAAGAAAGGAATAAAGAATATTTAGAAGATCTTTGAAAACAGTGTCTGGGTACGGTGGCTCATGCCTGTAATCTCAGCACTTTGGGAGGCCGAGGCAGGCAGATCACTTGAGGTCACGAGTTCAAGACCAGCCTGGGCAACTTGGCGAGACCTCGTCTCTACAAGATATACAAAAATTAGCCGGGTATGTTGGCATGCACCTGTAATCCCAGCTACTTAGGAGGCTGAAGCACAAGAATCACTTGAACCTGGGAAGCAGAGGTTGCAGTGAGCCAAGATTGTACCACTGCACTCCAGCCTGGGCAATAGAGCAACACTCTGTCTCGAAAAAAAAAAAAAAAAAAAAAAAAAGAAAGAAAGAAGGAAGGAAGGAAAGAAAAAAAAAGGAAAAAATGCAAGGAAGGTATTTGGTGAATCTATAATAATAAAAATGTATTTGTCATTTCCTTTTTCTGTGCTCTCATTCTATAAAATTGAGTAAAAAATCTATATATAGTTTAAACACATTAATAGAAATCACAAAAGTTAGCTGAGTCAACATTGTAGAAACATAATATTTCTGTATGTCAAAGAAATAGACAACATTAAAAAGCAGAAAGCAATTACAAAGAATGATTATAAGAAACATCACAAAGGGTTAATATTTTAACACATTTGAAACTCAAAAATCACTGAGAAAAGCAGTAGACTTCCATAAATATTTTATAGAGTAGAAAAAATAGGCCAAGCACAGTGGCTCATGCCTGTAATTCCAGCACTTTGGGAGGCCGAGGAGGGTGGATCACGAGGTCAGGAGTTCAAGACCAGCCCGGCCAAGATGGTGAAACCCCATCTCTACTAAAAATACAAAAACTAGCCAGGCGTGGTGGCAGGTGCCTGTAATCCCAGCTACTTGGGAGGCTGAGGCAGGGAATTGCTTAAACCCTTAAACCCGGGAGGTGGAGGTTGCAGTGAGCCAAGTTCGCACCACTGCATTCCAGCCTGGGCGACAGAACGAGACTCTGTCTCAGAAAAAGAAAAGAAAAGAATAGAAAAAGAATCCATGGGCAGGCACAGTGGCTCATGCTTATAATCCCAGTACTCTAGGAAGCCAAGGTGAGAGGATCAATTGAGGCCAGGAGTTCAAGGCCAGCCTGGGCAACATAGCAAGACTTTGTCTCTATTAAAAATTTTAAAATTAGCCAGGCATGGTGACGCACACCTGTAGTCCCAATTACTTGGGAGCCTGAGGCAGGAGAACTGCTTGAGGCTGCAGTGAGCTATGATTAGACCACTGCACTCCAGCCTGAGCTACACAGTGAGACCTTGTGTCAAAAAAGTAAAAAAATAAAAATTAGCCAGGCATGGTGGCACATGCCTGTAGTCCCAGCTACTCAGGAGGCTGAGGCAAGAGGATGACTTGAGTCTGGAAGATGGAGACTGCAGTGAGCTGTGGTCATGCCACTGCACTCCAGCCTGGGTGACAGAGCAAGACCCTGTCTCAAAAAAAAAAAAAAGAAAAGAAAAGAAAAATAAATAAAATTTATTCAAATACAAAAGTGATGTGGTTTGACTCTGTGTTGCCACCCAGATCTCATCTCCAATTGTAATCCCCGTGTATTGACGGAGGTTCCTGGTAGGAGATGATTGGATCATGGGGATGGTTTCCCCTCTGCTGTTCTCATGATAGTGAGTGAGTTCTCATGAAATCTGGTTGTTTGGTAGGTGTCTGTCACTTACCCCTTCTTTTTCTCTCTCCTGCTGCCTTGTGAAGAAGGTACTTCCTTCTCCTTTGCCTTCCACCATGATTATAAGTTTCCTGAGGCCTTCCCAGCCATTTGGAACTGTAAGTCAATTAAACCTCTTTCCTTTATAAATTACCGAGTCTCAGGCAGTTTTTTATAGAAGTGTGAAAATGGTCTAATACAGAGACTTGGTACCAGGAGTGGGGTACTGCTATAAAAAATAACCTGAAGATATGGAAGCGACTCTGGAACTGGGTAACAGGCAGCAATTGGAACAGTTTGGAGGGCTCAGAAGAAGACAGGAAGATGTGGGAAAGTTTGGAATTTCCTAGAGACTTGTTGAATGGCTTTGACCAATACACTGATAGTGATATGGACAATGAAGTCCAGGCTGAGATGGTCTCAGGTGGAGATGAGGAACTTATTGGGAACTGGAGTAAACGTCACTCTTACATGTTTTAGCGAAGAGACTGGCAGCATTTTTCCCCTGCCCTAGAGATCTGTGGAACTTTGAACTTGAGAGACATGATTTAGAGTATCTGGCAGAAGATATTTCTAAGCACCAAAGCATTCGAGAGGTGACCTGGCTTTTCCTGAAAGCATACAGTTATATGTGCTCACAAAGAGATGGTTTGAAATTGGAACTTATGTTTAAAGGGGAAGCAGAGTGCAACAAAAGTTTAGGGAGTTTGCAGCCTGACCATGTGGTAGAAAAGAAAAACCCATTTTCTGGGGAGAAATTCAAGCTGGCTGGAGAAATTTGCATAAGTAACGAGGAGCTGAATGTGAGTTGCCAAGACAATGGGGTAAATGTCTCCAGGGCGTTTCAGAAAATCTTCAGGGCAGACCCTCACAACACAAGCCTGGAGGCCTAGAAGGGAAAAATGGTGTGAGCCAGGCCCAGGCCCAGGCCCCAGCTGTTCTGTGCAGCCTTGGGACATGGCACCCTGTGTTCCAGCCACTCCAGCTCCAGCTGTGGTTAAAAGGAGCCAAGGTACAGCTGGACCATTGCTTCAGAGGGTACAAATCCCAAGCATTAGCAGCTTCCATGTGGTGTTGGGTCTTTGGGTGCACAGAAGACAAAAGTTGAGCTTTGGAAGCCGCTGCCTAGATTTCAGAGGATGTATGGAAACACCTCGATGTCCAGGCAGAAGTCTGCTGCAGGGGCAGAGCCTTATGGAGAACCTCTGCTAGGGCAATGCAGGGGGGAAATGTGGGGTTGGAGCTCCCACACAGAGTCCCCACTGGGGCACTGCCTCATGGAGCTGTGAGAAAAGGACCACCATCCTCCAGACTCCAGAATGGTAGATCCACCAACAGATTGCACTCTGCGCTTAGAAAAGCTGCAGGCACTCAATGCCAGCCTGTGAAAGCAGCTGCAGGGGCTGTACCCTGCAGAGCCACAGAGGTGGAGCTGTCCAAGGCCATGGGAGCCCACCCCTTGCATTAGCATGGAGACAGGGGATCAAAGGAGATTTTGGAGATCTAAGATTTAATGAATGCCCTGTCGAGTTTCAGACTTGAATGGGGCCTGTGACCCCTTTGTTTTGGCCAATTTCTCCTATTTGGAATGGGAACATATACCCAATGCCTGTACCCCCATTGTATCTTGGAAGTAACTAACTTGCTTTTGATTTTACAGACTCAGGCAGAAGGGACTTGCCTTGTCTCAGATGAGACTTTGGACTTGAACTTTTGAGTTAATGTTGGAACGAATTAAGACATTGGGGTTCTGTTGGGAAGGCGTATTTGGTTTTGAAATGTGAGAAGGACATGAGATTTTGGAGGGGCCAGGGGTAGAATGATATGGTTTGACTCTGTGTCTCCACCCAAATCTCATCTCCAATTGTAATCCCCATGTGTCAAGGGAGGGACCTGATGGGAGGTGACTGAATCATAGGGGCAGTTTCCCCCATGCTGTTTGCATGATAGTGAGGGAGTTCTCATGAGATCTGGTTTTTTGGTAAGTGTCTGGGCTTCCCCCTTTTCCCTCTCTCTCCTACTGCCTTGTGAAGAAGGTACTTGCTTCTCCTTTGCCTTCTGCCATGATTGTAAGTTTCCTGAGGTCTCCCCAGCCATTCAGAACTGTGAGTCAATTAAACCTCTTCCTGCCTATTCTCAGGCAGTTCTTTATAGCAGTATGAAAATGGACTACTACAGAAAGTGTGTAACTTTAAACTCAGTAGTATCCAAAGAAGTAATGAAAATGGAGAAACGAACAACAAAATCATAGTACAATATGGTGTATGTACTAGGACAGGAAGAGCCCTTTTAAGAAGAGATCTATGTATTTCCATTTGTTTATCTCTGAAAGAAAGCAACTTTGCCTTGTATTCTGAAAAAGAAAGGAATATTTTATTTTACTTGTAAAAATCTTACAAGGATGCTAGTCTAAATATAGTTTTCCTAATTTGCCAGAGAATCCATGAAGATCGAGTTGATAACAAGATCAGTGAAGTAAAGGTCAGTGAGTTAATCTCACAGCAGCTGCAGGCTAATTCCATTTCCAGTGAAAAACGTCTTGATTGCTCACCACATATCTTTTCACCACAAACAGTTTCAGTCTTAAGATCACATGTTGCAATCCATGAGAAGTAACTATTAAGCCTTCAACTATGACTGGAGGGCTCCTCGCCCTTTCTGATAAATTGACTGGACAAAAACTCAATTTTAAAATGACAAGAAATAGAAGATGTATAAATGTACTTTAAATGTGACCAAAATGGGTTGTGAAAACACAAGACACAATATCCAAAAATGCTGGCAACACAGTACACTGTAGAGTATTGGTTGTTTATTTACCCTTGCTATTGTGTGGCTGAGCTTACTGCCACTGCCCAGCATTGCAAGGGCATCAAACTGCCTATCACTAGCCTAGGAAAAGATCAAAATTCAAAATTCTAAGTACAGTTTCTACTGAATGCTTATCACTTTTGCACCATTTTAAAGTAAAAAAATCAGTAAGTTGAACCATCATATATCCAAGATTGTCTGTATATAAATATTATACATCTTTCTCTCACTTTTAAAACAAAATAATACTAGCCAATACTACCATTCTCAAAAGCACTTGTGTCAACAGCCTTTACCCCTTAAAGATTTTCCTCACAATTTTAAAATTGTTACTTACTATTTTCTTTGAAATGTTGACCAAACCTGGATTAAAAGATTTGGGGGTTTTAGTGACTGTATTTCACAAACTCTCTTATTGATTCTGCAGCCTCACTTCTGCCTCCTAAAAAGCCCTCACCAAGGTCACGGGGGATGGCTCTTTTCAGCCTCTTCCTGGCATTTGGTCCAGTGGCATTTGGCATTCTAGGACTTCCCTCTTTGTCTTTGATAACTCCCTCTCTTCCTGTGTTCCTCCTTGCTGTGTTCACTTGCTTCGCTTTCTTCTTTCTGAAGCATGTTTACACAGTGTTTTCTCTGATTGGGCCTGTGACGTTCTTTAGGTCATCTTTTCCACAAATAATGCTTCAACTAGTACTTGCGTGCCAGTGACTCCACGTCCCACTCATGAGCTCTGAACCTAGTACCAGCTTCTGCTGGACATCTACAATGGGATCTCTCACAGGCCTCTCTCATTGGTAACATGCCCCAGCCTGAACTCATCTCCCACCCATCTATCCAGCCATGCTCTCTAGTTCACCTGAACACTTGGGTGTCATCCTAGATGCTTTCCCTTCCCAGTCTTCTGTGATCATTCTGCCTCATCAGAGGCTCTCTAATCTGTCTTCTTTCCTATATCGCTCTTGTCCCTATTTTAATCCTAATCATCTATTTCCTGACTTATTCATTCCTTAAGTTGGTCAGTAATTTAATTAAAAACAGATTTAGGCCCTGACCTTAAATGTGATAAGTGATATGAAAGGAGATGACTGGGGAAAAGGATTTCCCTCAAGGAAGGCCTCTGTGAAGCCTGAAGCAAGAATGAAAACGAGTCAGACGAAGAGAGAATTGTATGAATGAAGGCTCTGAGGCAGGAAAACACTCAGATCATTCCAGAATCACTTAGAAGCCAAGTGAAGCCAGTTCCTGGAGAGCAGATCATCAAATGAAGATGGAAAGGTGACCAGGGGCCAGACCTGTAGTTTTGGTGGGCCTTGGTGAGGGATTTACAGTAGGACACCCCATGGTTTAAGTATGAAAGTGACAAGATTCCTTTAAGTTTTAAGAGGCCTCGAAATATGAACCACAGATTAGATGGAAGCTACTCTCCCTGTGTCTGGACTTTTTAGAATTTCCAAGAGCTGCTGTTTCTGGAACCAGATTAATACAAGTCAGTCTTCCATTTATTTATTTATGTATTTATTTGAGACAGGGTCTCACTCTGTCACCCAGGCTGGGGTGCAGTGGCATGAACACAGCTCACTGCAGCTTGGGGGCTCAAGAGATCCTCCTGCCTCAGCCTCCCATGTAGTTGGGACCACAGGCACCTACCACCCAGCTAATTTTATTTGTTGTAGAAATGAGGTCTCATTTTGCTGCCCAGGCTGTTCTT
Organism: Homo sapiens; assembly: GCF_000001405.40. Taxonomy (NCBI): domain Eukaryota; kingdom Metazoa; phylum Chordata; class Mammalia; order Primates; family Hominidae; genus Homo; species Homo sapiens. Next base: position 88,030,357 of record NC_000004.12, read on the forward strand.
GAACTCTTGGGCTCAAGCGATCCTCCTGCAACATCTTCCCAAAGTGCTGGGATCACTCTTCCATTTAACATGCTATCTCAACGTCAAGATAAACTTTAAAATCTTTAGATAATAGGCTGGCATTTTACTTAAACGATCTTTACTTCTTCAGAACTGCCATTCCCTATAAATATCTGGTTCTTCAACCACATCAAACCACTTGTGATCTCAAAAAGCCTCAGCGTACACTGTCCTTTCTGTCATTCTAATTCCTCCTCATCCTTCAAAATCAACTCAAGGACCAGATCCAGGGAGAAGCTTAGTGGTGCCCACCCGAACCGGCCCCCTCCTTCGAGTTGTGCTGCCATTCGGGCCCACCTCTTCACACAGGGTTGTCAGACCAGACCAGCTCATGCGTTCACCGCCCTTGCAGGGATGGGATGCAGCTGTGCACCTCTCAGTGCCGACACCTGGAGAGTCTCACGAAATGTTGACAACATGGCCTGTTTCCATTTCTTGTTCACTAGGACTTCTCATTTACTAACACACAGAATTTCCTGTAGTATGTCCACTTAATCAGTTCAAGCCTAATAATTCCTTGATTTGGGTATAGTGCTTTGCATTTATATACTGATGGTCCCCAACTTACGATGGTTCGATTTATGATTTTTCAACTTCATGGTGATGTGAAAGTGATACACATTCTATAGAAACCACACTTTCAATTTTGAATTTTGGTCTTTTTCCAGGCTACCATACTCTAAAGATAGAGCCACAGATCCCAGTCAGCCATGTGATTATGAGGGTAAGCGACCAATACTCTACAGTGTATTGTATTGCCAGATGGTTTTGCCCAACTAGCCTAATGTAAGTATTCTAAACATGTTTAAGGTAGGCCAGGCTAAGCTGTGTTGCTCATTCAGTAGGTTAGGTATATTAAATGCATTTTCAACTTATGATATTTTCAATTTACAATGAGTTTATCAGGATGTAACTCTACTATAAGTCAAGGATCATCTTGTATAGCACTTTTAATTTATAGAGTCCCTTCAAATGTTTGTTTGTATTTTATTTCCACTGCATCCCTGTGAGGATACCATAAGTTATACAGCTAACAAAACAGTTAGTTTTCCTGTGCAAAGTGATGGCTTCATCTTGTGGCAGATTACCTGGAATACTGTGGCCAAGGCATCTTAGTTCTACTGTCTTTATATATCTAGTACAGTTATATTTTTATGGCAGCTCTGATTTCTTCTTTGGCCCAAGGGTTATTAAGAGAGGGAAAAAATTTAATTTCTTAACAGATATATATATCTATGTCAAGTCATATATTTAATTCAAACCCTTAATATTCCTAGGTAATTTTTGTCTACTTTCTCTGTCAAAGATTGAAAGATACAGGGTTTTAAGTTTCCAACTGTAATTGTAGTTTTGGTAATTGTTTTATTACTAACAGGTATTGCTCTGTATATTTTGATGTTCTGTTATTCAATACATAAGAATTCATTACAGTTGAATCATCATGTATAGTATAATTTACCAATGTAAAATAACCTTTTTATCAAACTGAGTATTCACCTTATAATGTCCTCTGTCAGAGGATTATAATACCACTTAAAACCTTTTAAAAAATATTTTGTTCCTGATAATTTTAGCTTTGAGTGGTTTTCTTATAACAATTCTAGAGATGCGTTTTTATTTTTTAACCAAGATTTAAAGCTTTGTGATTTAGTAAGAGTCTAAACCATTCACAGTTCATGCTTTTTTGTCAAATTTCTATTATTTAGTATTTTCCTCTCTTTTATATTTTCCTGTTATTTTCCATTTCTATTCTTTTGTTAGACTGGAAATTTTTTCTTTGCTTTCTTTTATCCTAGTGATTTGAAATTTATGTAATATATACTATTCTACAATACCCTTTATTTGTTTTCAATATTTGAACCTATATTTTTCAACATTATTAAGAATAAAATAGTATTTGTTGCTATTTTGAAATGATAGACCATGTTTTTAAGGCAGGTTGGTGGTTGTTAAGGCACCAGTATCGGCCAGGCACGATGGCTCACACCTGTAATCTCAGCACTTTCGGAGGCCGAGGTGGGCAGATCGTTTGAGCCCAGCACTTTGGCCGATACTGTGGTTTACTGTATTTTGTTCTAGTTTATTTTATGGAAAATGGGAATTCAGTGGTTAAGACAAGGATTAAATAGCAGAAGAAAGATGTGTACATATGTACAGATGTATGTGTCCTTTATATGTTTTTTAGTACTCTTGTCTCCTTTCTGGTCCTCATTTAAGGTTATCTATTTCATGCAGTAAATTTTTCTTCACAATTCATTTCATTTAGAGAGTGAATGCTACCTTCCAAGTGGGCTTTCTCCAGTTTTCCTTTCAGGGACTTAAAGGAGAAGTGATGTTAACAGTTTTATATTTCCATTGCATTTTACAGTGTGCAGATGTCTTCACATATATTTCCCCATTTGAGCTTTACAAAAGCCCTTAGTATTATTCTCATTGTCTAGATTCCAAAATCAGGCTTAGAGGAGTTAAATAGTTGTCCAGGATCTCAAGATGCAAGACCCACAATCATGAACAGAGGCAGATGTTCAGGATGGAGGCAAGCTGAAACTCAAAACCAAATCATTATGACTCCAAATTCAGGAGTCTTTTAGCTGCCACCTGCATGGGCTCTTGGTGTAGCTGACCACCAGAGTTTGTAGAGCTGTCATTCAGGTGTGCCATGGACTTTCCTGGGACCTGGCACAGGAGAAGGACTGAGTTAATGTTTGCTGATTAAATATCTGTTACAGGCTGGGCGCGGTGGCTCACGACCGTAATCCCAGCACTTTGGGAGGCCGAGCAGGGAGGATCACTTGAGCTCACAAGTTTGAGACCAGCCTGGGCAGCATGGCGAAACCCCGTCTCTACAAAAAATTTGAAAATTAGCTGGCCATGGTGATGCATGCCTGTAGTCCCAGGTACTCAGGAAGCTGAGGTGGGAGGATCACATGAGCCCATGAGATTGAAGCTGCAGTGAGCTGAGATGGTGCCACTGCACTCCAGCCTTGGCCATAGAGCCAGACCTTATCTCAAAAAAAAAAAAAAAAAGTTACAATAATCTTCCCTTCAAAGCTGGAAGGCATTATTTACCTGTCTGTCCAGCAGATGGTGCTACATAACCAAGGGAATCTGTTGCTTGCCCTTGGTGAAGCTATTAAAGCCAATACAGATCTTGAGAATTTCAAAAGCAAAAATCAATACTGGATTATGAGTGCTCTAGGAAAATAAAGAGATAAATTTTCAATTTACATACTTATATATAGTTATACCATATTTGTAAATAAAAATATATAAATAATTTATCAAAATTCCTTTTTAACAGCAACAACCACAGTAAACCCACAGGTTAAAAACTCCACAACAGTCTATATTAATCAGTCAATGCAAAGTACATTCCAATTCCAAGTTAACTGAAAATAATCAACTTAATCATTTGGTTGGCTCTGAGCAGCCTTCACTGCTTGCTCTTGTGTCATGTTTCTTTCTGTCCTCGATTGGCTATAGACTTACAGACGGCTTTTGCAGAGGACAGTGTACTCATGTCCATCCTTTGCATCCTTTGTGGGAGTTGGCTAGGCAGCACTCTCCCTGGGGACACTATGAACTCCTCTTCTTGAGTGCAGAGATCACGTCTTGTTCATCTTCATGCCCAATACCTTGTTCCATAAATATGAATGGATTAGAATTCTAAACTCTTAACTCTGCCCCAAGACAGTTCTGAGAGGTAGTAAGTCATATAACACCTGAAGAGGACTGTTCTTGTCCTAATTACATTAGGTTATAAGATGACAGGTGAGGGAGCCAAACCAGGGGGCCTGGAAATTATTCATACATCTCTAGATACAGTATACAAGTTGTGTGTATTATGTGTATTTACTCTGTAATTGATTGCTTGAGATGAACCCCCAAACACACTCGTGTTTGGATCATTATTATCTACCCTTCTCCTTAAATAATCTTAATTTCCTATGATGCTTGAAAGGGAAAGAGGGGCCAGGTGTGGTGGTTCACACCTGTAATCCCAGCACTTTGGGAGGCTGAGGTGGGAGCATCACCTGAGGTCTGGAGTTCAAGACCAACCTGACCAACATGGTGAAACCCTGTCTCTACTAAAAATAAAAAATCAGCTGGGCATGGTAGCACATGCCTGTAATCCCAGCTACTTGGGAGGCTGAAGTGGGAGAATCGCTTGAACCTGGGAGGGGGAGGTTGCAGTGAGCCGAGATCACTCCATTGCACTCCAGACTGGGCAACAACAGTGAAACTCCGTCTCAAAAAAAAAAAAAAAAAAAAGGCAGAGTGGGGAAGAGAGCTGCATGAAGGAGAGATTTACTAAATAGTACTTAATCCCAAAATAATTTCTATAGGTTTGAATATGATCCCTGAAATTTATTATAGGTTCAGGTAAGTATTAATCACGGGTATTCAGAACTGTGGTTTAAAAAATGTATAGAACATGTTTCCTTCCCCTTGAAACTTTTTATCAGCTAATTATAGGAATTATATTATACCTGCAATCATTAAAGTCCAGAATGAGACAGTACTTGGTAAAGTGCTGAAATTTATAATAAATGCATTATAGCAATCCAGTTAAGGAGGAAGAGCCACCATTATTGAACATTTGTTAAGTGTCAGCCATTGTACTAGATAAATTTTAGTTATTATTTTTATTTAGGCACCAAAAAATCCATGGGATAGTTGGTTATCCCCATCTTACTGAAGAGGAAACTGAAGCTCAGAAAGTTTAAGCAACTTGCACAGGTCACATAGCAAGTAAGGAGCATGGCCAGGAATCAGACCCTGATCTCCTTTGGTCTACTAAGCTTGCAAAGGATCTTCCCGCCTCCTTCCAAGACCATTCAATATTATCAGTAAATGTCCATGGCAAGGATGTAGTTCGAGTTATAGGGTTCCATTCAAGATATGATTGGTAGGTGGGAAGCAGATATGTCTGTGTCAATCAGTATCCTGGAAGAAGGAGATGATGAACTCAAGTGGTGATTAAGGGAAGTTTAATGAAGGGACTATTTACAGAGATGTGGTGGGGTTAAGAGAACCAACAAGGGGAAGTGATGCACTCAAAAAGTTACTACCTCCAGGCTTTAGGGGATTGGGGGAGGGAGTGGCACAGTGTGAACCCAGTGTGGTTGTGAGAAAAGGGATTCCCTCAGCAGCCATGGCCAAGGTTAGAGTCTCCACTGCCAAACTGCATCCAGGTGGTGAGGGAATGGAGAATAGGGGTGGGGTAACAAACTCTGACCTCGGTATCCCCAAAGGGCAAAGGATTCCAGGTGGTACAGTTCGTAAAGATTAGCCTCAGGGCACAGAACAGGGCAGAGAAGAATGGAGAATTGATCTGGAGGAAACAAACAATGGCTTGCCCATGTTATTGCAGGGAGAGTAGGCTGGTGTGCACAGCAGGAGGGTGGGGAGCCCAGCATATAGCTGTGTTGGGGCCTGTGCAGATCAGCCTCACTGGCAGGGAGGATCTGAGCCGAGAGGTGGTGGAAGATGAAATCGAGTAGGCATGTTGGTAGTCCTAAATATCAAGTAAACGTTCCTGATCTTACATTGATACTCAATAGTAAGCCAATTTTGTTTCCCATAAGCCAATATTAATATTACGTATTTCTTTTATAAGCCAGAGATATAGAGAGATACCCTAGAAGAATGATAGGGGAAAGGAAGGCAAGGGTGAGAGAAGACCTTGTGTGAATTTGTCCAAAATGTTTATCCACAGGAACAATCCCTTTGTGAAGGCTGCTGGTATGTGAATGTGTGCCGGTTCCCTTGGGGCGTTCATTTGGATCTTTCTGTGTTCCAGTGACCTACGGCATGATGAGCTCCAATGTGTACTACTACACCCGGATGATGTCACAGCTCTTCCTAGACACCCCCGTGTCCAAAACGGAGAAAACTAACTTTAAAACTCTGTCTTCCATGGAAGACTTCTGGAAGGTATTTGCAAATAACTTTGAAAGTACCTCTCTATCACAGAAAATTGTTCATTTGGCTTCATCATTTCAATGCATGAGTATCGACAGGACCTGCTTTGCATTTAACACTGTGTGAGACGTAAGTTATGGTGAGTTGTTAGAAGTTACTGTTCCTACTCTCAAAGGGGGTAAACTAACATTGAGAACTTTGCCTGTGCCTTGCACTGTGCTGAGTGTTTCATATCTTACCTTATTTAATTTCTATAGTCTAACTCTATAAGGTAAGTACTAAGACTATGCCCTAGTTTGTTAATGAGGAAAATGAGATTCAGGATGTTTAAATGCGTATGGTCACATGGCTAGGGAACAAGAAAAATTGATTTTTTTCTAGCCTGACAGCTACTTCATCCTAGTTTGTAATTCATTCCATGAGTCAAGATTCAATAAATATTTATTGAGAATCTCCTAGAATGTAAGGCCAATGAAGGGCAGTGTGGTTCTTCTGTCTTGCTTCGCCTTTTGTGTTTTGTCTCTTTGTTGATGATGGCATGTATCCCCAGCTCTTAGAACAGTGCTTGATTCAAAGTAAGCACATTCTTTCAAAGGTCTGCTGTTGGTGGGGCTTGGTGGCTCACGCCTGTAATCCCAGCACTTTGGGAGGCCAAGGCAGGAGGATTGCTTTAGCCCAGGATTTTGAAACCAGCTGGGCACAACATAGTATGACTTTGTCTCTCCAAAAAAGTTAAAGAATTAGCAGGGTGTGGTGGTACACACCTGCAGTCCCAGCTACTCAGGAGGCTGAGGTGGGAGAATCACTTGAGCGATTGCTTGAGGTCAAGGCTGCAGTGAGCCATGGCCATGCTACTGCATTCCAGCTGGGGCAACAGAGTGAGACCCTTTCTCAAAAAAAATCCCCCCCAAAAAAAAACCCAAAAACAAACAAAAAAGGTCTGCTGTTGTGAAGTTCAACCCAATCCAGCCCCTTCCCAAGTTGTCACAAATTCCAACGTAGTTAACAGTATACCAATGAGTGATACCACAGGAAAAATATTAAACTGATCTGAGGGATATGGGGCTTGGAATCTAAGAAAATTGGAAGGGAAATTGAAAAGGAAATTATTATTTCTCCTTGGGGAGATAGTTTCTAAAATTCTTACTACACCCTGGGGTCAGAGCTGTTGATTTTAAGGATAGAGACAACTGAGTCACAGGAAACTATTCATATATAAAAGTACCTGGCATCCAAAACCACACTTGTATAATATGAATCTTTCACCATCTGAGTAGGGCAAATCAGTCTATCTCTGTTGATCATCTGACAAGGATAGCACACTGAGAAATAGATCTGTCTTCCCTACAGGCATAGCTAGTTGTACAAACTAACAAGAGACTTTTGTATACACATTCCATGATGATAAATGCCAATCACTAAAGGGACGAGGAGGGATTGGAGAGTTCACCATACAGCAAAATAGTCCAGACAGGTGAAAGGTCTATCAAATGCCAGGCTGGTAATCAAAACTGTAGCCTTTTCTCTAAACAAAGTTTAGAACCATGATTGTGTGGGACATTATTTTAATAAGGGAAAGTGCAGTTAATCATGACCCCACCTTTAGTCCAAGAACAAAAATCAGAGCTGCCACGTATTAAGTACCCACTCTGTGCCAGGTGCAGTAACTATGCAAAAGATGGGTTTTCCAGATGCAAGAACCTTGGTTCAGAGGACCCTGCTCAAGGCCTCATAGCTAACAAATGATGGGGCAAGATGCTATCCCAAATCTCTCTGACAACAAAACTCATTCTTATCACTCTACTATTTTCATAGAGTTGCCAAATGCTTGGTTATGCAAACGATGCAGGCAGGGGCAAGACAGCGGCTGAGCTTGGAACTTTTTCAGAGATGTTTCCTTTGCTTTTAGTTCACAGAAGGCTCCTTATTGGATGGGCTGTACTGGAAGATGCAGCCCAGCAACCAGACTGAAGCTGACAACCGAAGTTTCATCTTCTATGAGAACCTGCTGTTAGGGGTTCCACGAATACGGCAACTCCGAGTCAGAAATGGATCCTGCTCTATCCCCCAGGACTTGAGAGATGAAATTAAAGAGTGCTATGATGTCTACTCTGTCAGTAGTGAAGATAGGGCTCCCTTTGGGCCCCGAAATGGAACCGCGTAAGTGTCTGTGACTCATTGCCACTCGGTGATATTCATTCATTTATTCTCTGAACTCCCACCATTCATTCATTCATTCCCTGACACCTTCACCAAGGCAAAAATAAGTTCAGTGACTCTTCAGTGCTTATATTTAAACCTTGGCCAACTTGACCTTTGACTTCTTAAGTTTTCACTACTTCTTAGCCTTCTTTTAGTTTCTACATGCATATTTTTCAGAAGACTAAATCGTTGACCATATAACCCCTCAAAAATTAATTATCTGAGCGTTTGAAAATTTCATTTAAGATGCCCTGGGCCCTGTTTTTACAGGTGCAGTAACATCATCCACTAAGTTATTTAACACAAGTTTTCTGGTTCAGGAACTCTTTTTATAGGTCTTGCAAACAGGTTTTTGTTCAGAATGGAGTTATTTAATGTGTAAGCTTGTGAGGCAATTTTTTGTTAGGTTTAAAGCCCATTTTGTTCAAATGTTTGAGATTTTAGGTATATATTTGTACACGTGCATATTTACAGGGGCTTTTTGTACACTTTGGTACTCCTACTTCAAACATCTTGTGTATTAAGGGAGGTCACTTACTATTTTAGAAGTATTGTAGTTATTATAAAGAAACAAGAAGACCTCCAAGGCCGTTTCAGGGTGGGCCTTTGCGGTTGCTGTCCCTGGGTACGTCACTGGTCGGAGTCATCTTCTAAGCTTTGCTCAGCTAATTCTGTCGGTTCATCTAGGTTCTTTTCTTGGAAACTGAGTTGCCCAGAATCCACATTTGTTACTATACAATGGGCAATCACCTTTTCAATTAGTATATTCTTCTTGTACCTTCCAGTATACACTCTATTTAATACCAGAACCCATAAGAAACAAATTTAGTAAAAATCCAGGTTGGGCACAGTTTCTCATGCCTGTAATCCCAGCACTTTGGAAAGCCAAGGCGGACAGATCACTTGAGGTCAGGAGTTCAAGACCAGCCTAGCCAACATGGTGAAACCCTGACTCTACTAAAAATACAAAAATTAGCTGGGTGTGGTGACATGTGCCTATAGTCACAGCTATTCGGGAGGCTGAGGCAGGAGAATTGCTTGAGCCCGAGTGGTGGGGGTTGCAGTGAGCTGAGGTCTCATCATTGCACTCCAGCCTGGGCAACAGAGCAAGACTCCCCCTCAAAAAAAAAAAAAAACAAATTTAGTGAAAATCCAGAGCTTTAGAACAAAGGAACTAAATAGTCTCAAAGGACATTATCATCCAAGTTATGATAGTGATTTCGCTTTCTTTAAAAAAAAAATTATTACAGATAGAGTTTCTTGATGTTGCCCAGGCTGGCCTCAAACTCCTGGGCTCAAGCAGTCCTCCAGCCTCAGCCTCCCAAGTAGCTGGGACTATGAGAATATGCCACCATGCCCAGCTTTATTTTGCTTTCTAATGTGCCTTTTTGTAGTTCCTGCAAAGCATAAGCATGCCTTCATCTGTGGTACCCTTTCCAATATTTTATTTATCTCACATCACTAATAAGATAAATTTATACAGCCACTGCTCTGTGCCAGACATTATTTAAGAAGTTATTTCACGCATTATCTCATCTGCCTTCACAAAACAACTCTAAAATAGGTATCACCTCCATTTTATAGATGAAAAAACTGAGGCTCACTTGCCCAAAGTGTCACAGCTAACAAATTGGACTGAACCAAGATTTAAGCAGCCTGACTCCAAAACCCATGTTTCGCCTACTAAACCTCTTCCATATTAATTCCTCCTCCATATTAATTGCGTCGTTAGGGTGGCTTGTCGACGCTCTCAGCTCCCCATCAGTACTCAAGCTTCCTGAGGGCAGGGATTCTATTTTGTTAACTGCTGTATTCTCAAAGCCTTGAACAATGCCTCATATGTAAAGATACTAATAAATATGTGCTGGATGCATTCGAGTGATTTCTACTCCAGGGTGGATTGCCAAAGGGGACCTTCCCTGTCATATCTAAACTATCCTTTTATTCTTCTACATTCTCAAGTCACTCCCATTTCTTCTTCCCTTCAACTCCAAACTTCTTGGAAGAATAGTCTTCATTTGCCACTTCCATTTCCTTACCATCAATTCACGTCTTAAAGCTTAGGTTCTTGCTTTTGACATCTCACCAGGAAGCTACTAGGGACCTCTAGTTAGCAAATCCACTGAACAAATCTCAGTTTTTATCCCCTTCATACTGTCTGCAGAAAGTGGCAGTGTTGACCGCTCATTCTTTTGACTTCCATGAAGAACTCTACACTTTGGGTTCTTTTAACTCTGAAACCCCTTTCTCTCACTTCTCTTATTCCCAGGTTCTATATTCATATCTCCGTCTTTTCTTTCTTTTCTCTCTTTCCCATGACATTCAGATGGCTTCCACTGACATCTTTATTTGGTGACTCATCATTTCTTCAACAATGTGCCAGGCATGTTCCCATTGCTAGAAGTCCCCCCTCTTCTAGTAGTGCCCTTGATGCTGGAGAAACAAAGCAGCAGGAAACAGAAGAAACGTCCTTTCTTCACAGAGCTTGCATTCTAGTGATACAAGACACATCTCTATTCCACCTGGATGTCCCACACCTCTTGTGATTTAATATGCCCCAAACTAAACTCATCGTTTTCTTATGAGATCTGCTCTTTGTTCTGTTAATGGCACTGCCGTCTTCCTATTGCCCTGAAAGAGACTCCAGAGTCATTTTTGAGCCATGTTTCCTCCTTGCCCCAACTTCCAAATCAGTTACCAAGTTCTGCTGGCAGTCACTGTGGTTACGACACTCTCTCACTCCTTCCTTTCCCTTCCCATCTTCACTGAGTGACTTCAGGCCTCATTACCTCTTGGTTATTGCAGACTTTGCTAAGGGAGCTGTGTCAGGGGTCCCTAAGACCACCCCCAGGTTCAGTGATTCACTAGAAGGACTCAGCATAGAGGCATCCTTACAGCTAAGGTTTATTATGGTGAAAGGATACAAAAGAAAAGGCACATGGCAATATCTGGGGAAAACCTGGTGTAGGCTTCCAGGAGCCCTCTCCCAGTGAGGTCACATAGGATGTGCTGAATTTCTCCAGGAACGAGTTGTAGCAACATGTGTGAAATGTCTATCAGAGAGATTAATTAGAGACTCAGTGCCTGGGGTGTTCACTGGGTACTGGTACTGGTTTATGACTAGCATGTGCCAAAATTCCCGACTCTCAGAAGGAAAGCAGGTGTTGAGTGTAAGCCACATTGCTTATACAAATAGCACAGGCACAGCAAGCCTCTCTTACCGGTCAGGGAAAGTTGAATACTGGTGCAGGGAGCTGTTTATCAGTCAAGTTCCCAGATGCCAGCCAAAGTCCAACCTTGCAAACAGGCCTTCCTAAAGAAAGGCCATCTCAGGCCTGCTGTGTTAACTCTTTTCTGCACATGAGCCCTCTGTTCCTCCCCACTCCAGTCTTCCCTGCTGCCACCAGACCAGCCCTGTTGTGTGCCTCTTAGAACTTTCCCTTCACAGACTCCTTCATGTTTGCCCTTCACAAGCTGACCACAGACCACCTTTCAATCTGCCATTCTTTATCTTATGGGAGCCAAACTGAACTACTTCTTCTCTTGACCAATGGCTCACGGTTGAAAATGCCCTTCCCATTTGTATTAGTCTGGTCTCATGCTGCTGATAAAGACATACCTGAGACTGGGCAATTTACCAAAGAAAGAGGTTTAATGGACTTACAGTTCCACATGGCTGGGGAGGCCTCACAATCATGGTGGAAGGCGAGGAGCAAGTCACGTCTTACGTGGATGGCAGCAGGCAAAGAGAGAGAGCTTGTGCAGGGAAAATCCCACTTATAAAACCATCAGATCTCGTGAGACTTACTCACTATCATGAGACCAGCATGGGAAAGACCTGCCCCCATGATTCAATTACCTCCTACCGGGTTTCTCCAACAAAACATGGGAATTGTGGGAGTTACAATTCAAGATGAGTTTGGTTGGGGACACAGCCAACCCATATGACCATTCACCTGTGCAAGTCCAGATCCTACTCACCTTTCATGGTTCAGGTCCAACACAGCTTCTTCCTAAAGCCTTTTCTAATCCATCCCTCCACTGCCAGATCCCCAAATAAGGACAGCTTTCCTCTGATCTGCCAGCCTTATTTCTTTTCTCTTTTGCTTCTTATTATTATCCACCTTGTATTTTACTTGTTTAATTATAACTCTTATTTCCCTACTTGTTATAAATTTGGGAGGGAAAGGACCTTTATATCCCCATTAGTGCTGAAGAAGCATCTGTTTTCTAAGAGATCCTCTGAATATTTGTGGATGAAATTCCCAAATGCTGACAATGCCACTTGATGAACTTGTCCCTCTTTTGGCTGTAATTTTCTCTGGGGACCTCAAGTCGTCTAGTCCCTGAGCACAGTTACCCAGAGAAGGCAGCCGTATAAACTGAGCAGAGGCTCTAGAGCAGAGCAGAGGCTCTAGGGACAAACAGCCCTGGCATTGGTTCCCGAGTCTGCCCTCAAAAGCTTTGGGACTACATTGACCTCACTAAGCCTCAGGGCCCTCATTCCTAAAGAGGCTAATAACAGTATGAGAATTAACCAAGAAAACATGAACTGCCAGGTCAGGCACAGTACCCAGCTTGATAGGCCTTAATACATACTTTATTTTACAAGGAACCAGCTGTCCTTGTAATTGCCTCAAGTGTTCCACTGATTGTAACTGTTTGTTTTTTGGTTTTGTTTTTAATCAGTTGGATCTACACAAGTGAAAAAGACTTGAATGGTAGTAGCCACTGGGGAATCATTGCAACTTATAGTGGAGCTGGCTATTATCTGGATTTGTCAAGAACAAGAGAGGAAACAGCTGCACAAGTTGCTAGCCTCAAGAAAAATGTCTGGCTGGACCGAGGAACCAGGGCAACTTTTATTGACTTCTCAGTGTACAACGCCAACATTAACCTGTTCTGTGTGGTCAGGTGTGTACTGAGGACATGCATCCCTCCTATTTCTGTGTGGTTGTACATACATCCTATTCTGGGGTTAGCCAGAAAAACCTTTGCCTGCAGTTAGCTACATGAGGATGCCAAGGACCCAGACGGATAGCAAGGGAGGGGTAAAAACTGAAGGCTTACCGAAATAAAGGATATTTGAGGAAGGGAGTTGGGATCCTAGAATATTACGAGTTGGAAAGAACCATAACTCTGGTCCAAGTTCATCTCAATGCTGGAACCTTTCCAGAAAAAGTATTGTGTTTTTCTAACATCTGTCTTTACCCATTATAAGGATGGTTAGTGCCACATGTTCCATCACCAAGTCCCCCGGCCATCAAATCTTGACTCATTTCCTGGAGTTTCTCACTCTCAGATGAGCCTCTGCTATTAGCACACAAGCACAGTAACCGGAGTGCTTGTAGGATGCTCAGTAGGATACCCAGGTTACCTGCTCGTGCTCAGGGCTACCAAAGGCACGTAAAGTTCCTTCCACAGATCCTGGGATGTTGCCATGATGACCCCTCTGTGAGATAGTAACAAAAATGACAAAGATTCCACTGGCTTGTCTGGGACTCTTCTTCATTCATTTATTCAGCAAACATTCATTGGACACTTAATATGGGCTAGGCATTGTTCTCGGCTCTTGGGACATGTCAGCAAACAAAATAAAGATCCGCACCTTGGCAGAGCTTGCATCCAACCAGGAGGAGACTAGAGAATAAACATTAAACAATACAAATAAATAGTATAGTATATTAGAAGGTAATAGGTACTATTAAAAAGAAAGAAAAAGCAGAGCAAGAGGAAGTCAGAGTTCACCCACTTTAATCTTCCTGGTGAGCATGTCAGCAACACCCAAACATCACTAACATGGATTATTGCATGTATATTTACACATAAGATAAGAAGTGTTTATTCTCATAATAGTCTTTGTCATCATTCTTGAGGTTAAGTTCAATTCTGCTTTATGTGGCTTGTTGGATTGTCCCAGTCCTTGTATTTAACAACATTTGCAGAAAATAGTACCACATTAAATCAATTATAGATTATCCCTTATCCAAAATGCTTAAGACCAGAATGTTTGAGATTTAAGAAATTTTTCAGGTTTTGGAATGTCTGCATATATATAATGAGATATCTTGGGGATGGGACCCAAGTCTAAACACAAAATTCATTTATGTTTCATAAATGAAACTTAATGCACATAGCCTGAAGGAAATTTTATTTTTCCCTTAGGGATGTTGAATCAACTGTTGTGTGCCAGCATGTTGACAATGACCTGTCACATGAAGTCGGGTGTGGAATTTTCCACTTGTGCGTTCATGGCGGTGCTCAGAAAGTTTGGGATTTTGAAGCATTTTATATTTCAGATTTTCACATTAGAAATACTCAAGCTGTCCTTGCTCACAGTGGCCAAAAAAAAAGAAAGAAAGAAAAGAAATACTCAACCAGTAGTCCAGTAGTAGTTATCACTAGAAATGAATGAAAATCTATTGCAGTATTATTGAGTTTTTCCTAATTATTCCAGTGCAGATAAAAAGAAAAGAATAAAAAGGAAGAGAATAAAAACAGAGAGGCAACTCTGATATTTTAGTAAATTCTATTTATAGAAGGTCTTGAGTATTTCTTCTGCTTCCTCCCTTACTTTAAGGATGAACATTGTTAAGACAACTGCTTCATTTCTCTATACTGTTTTTCTAAGTTTCTGGAAGTGGTTGACTACTGCAGGGCCAGAATGGGCCAGAGAAATGACTTGACACTTGAAGGCCACTTCCTTCCCTTTTGAGTTCCCAATGAAGCTGTCACATACAAGGCTCTTGGCTTCAGAGTTGCTCTCCTGAGTTTTTGATTCTCACCCCTACTCTCTAACACATCAAATAGGAAAGAAAGAACAGGAGAACTGACAATGAAAAGGAAGGAAAATTTTCACACTTCTCTGACCAGTTCTAATTTACCATAGTCCTGTTTTTACTTGATTATTGCTCATGCATGTGTCCTGTATGCTCAGGTTCCAGGTGCGGCTACCTGTCCTGTAATGGCAGAGATAGTGATGGCTAGTAGCTGACTAAAGGGCTTTTAAATGTCTCAAAATGAAGCAGCTAGAGATTCTATTTCTAGTTAGAAAAGAAGTCTGTATCATTAACTGAATCACCCAGCTTTCTCAGTGTGACACCTACAAAATGGGCATTTGACAAGAAAAAAACCCTCAGTCCAGTTATGGTAAAGCAGTAAAGATCAGAGCCATCAGTATGGATGTAAAATAGTGTATGTTTTAGACAATCAGACATCTATTGAGTACCCACCTATTAACTATAAGGCTCTGGGAAGAAGAGAGAAAACTACCCTGGAGGACAAACTATTTGATGCTATTTAGGTGTTACATAATGAATGAATGACTCAGTTCCTATCTTTATATATGTACAAAATATATCCTACTTCTCAACCAGATTACACATGTTTTGAGTGGATGGTTTATATTTCTTTATATTCTTCATGTTGCCTAGTAGAAGGACTTGAATTTAATAGAAGTCCTAGGGCCAGGCATGGTGGCTCCTTCCTGTAATTCCAGCACTCTGAAAGGCCCAGGCAGGAGGATCATTTGAGCCCAGGAGTTTGAGACCAACCTGGGCAAAAGGGCAAGACTCAGTCTCTGCCAAAAAAAAAAAAATTAGTTGGGCATGGTGCTGCACACTTACATTCCCAGCTACTCAGGAGGCTAAGGCAGGAGAATCCCTTGAGCCCTGGAATTTGAGGCAGCAGTGAGCTATGATTGCAACACTGCACTCCAGCCTGGGCAACAAAGCGAGTCCCTGTCTCTTAAAAAAATAATAACAGAAGTCCTAGAAAAGTTTGTGTGTTGATTTACTTTTACATTAAAAGTATATGGCATGTTGAGCAGCGTAAATATAGAAAAGTGTAGGGAAGACTGAGCAGGAAGTACTCCTTTGGGACTGAAAGACCTCAGGAAGTCTTATTCCTTTGATGGCACAAAATTCTCCAAGTATGGAATTATTAGCTATGATAAAAATGTTTTGCCGCTAGTTTGGGGGGACTCATGGTAGCAGTTTCATTACCTTGTAATGCATGAACAGAACAGATGGACATCCATTCCTGGCTGTATTCATGTGTTGTTGTTGTTATTGTTTTAATTGTTCTTATTTACATGCAGGTTATTGGTTGAATTCCCAGCAACAGGTGGTGTGATTCCATCTTGGCAATTTCAGCCTTTAAAGCTGATCCGATATGTCACAACTTTTGATTTCTTCCTGGCAGCCTGTGAGATTATCTTTTGTTTCTTTATCTTTTACTATGTGGTGGAAGAGATATTGGAAATTCGCATTCACAAACTACACTATTTCAGGAGTTTCTGGAATTGTCTGGATGTTGTGATCGTTGTGGTAGGTTTGAGAACAACACCAAATTTCCTATTCTATTCTACAAGCATGTTAACTAGAGTCTTTGATCTCCTCAGCATTGTGGATCTTGATATTCCCAAAAAAGAATCTAAAAGTCCCCCTCAATTATATCAACTTCTGTTACTAATTATTTTCTCATTTTGCATGAGTAACTTTGCTGAGTATGAAGTGGAGAGGTATTTACAGTATGCTCTCAGCCACGCTAATAACAAGAGTATCTCAGTAATTCATATTTGGCTTTAGTATGCCGTATGAGATGTGGAGGAGAAAACAGTTTTTTTTCTTTGTTTTTTTTTCCACTAATGATATTTTTCTTCAACTGCTGGTAAAAATCAATTTATATTTTCCTGCACATGTGTGAAGTTACAGCAATAAAAAAACTTGTCGGCCAGGTGTGGTAGCTCATGCCTGTAATCCCAGCACTTGGGGAGGCCAAGGCAGGAGGATCACTTAAGCCCCAGAGTTCAAGCCCAGCCAGGGTAACATAGTGAGACCCTGTCTTTACAAAAAAAAAAAAATTTAATTAGTCAGGCATGGTGGCACACACCTGTAGTCTCAGCTATTCCAGAGGCCGAAGTGGGAGGATCATTTGAGCCCAGGAGGCTGAGGCTGCAGTGAGCTATAAATGCACCACTGCACTGCAGCCTGGGTGACAGAGTGAGACCTTGCCTCAAAAAGAAAAGAAAAAAGAAAAATCATCCTGAAAATATTTTGTGCGGCAGAGAAAACTTTCTGCAGTTTAAAATTTTCTGCAAATAGTCTGCAGAGTACAAATGTAAGTTATATTCATCAAAGTTTTCTGTATGAGGTATAAGAAATCAAAGGCAGGCCATGCACAGTGGCTCATACCTATAATCCCTGCACTTTAGGGAACTGAGGTGGGAGGATCACTTGAGATCAGGAGTTTGATACCAGCCTGGGCAACATAGTGAGACCCCATCTCTAAAAAATAAAAATAAAAAATAAATCAAAGGCAGAGTCATAATCAAGACCATGACACCATGTAAATTCTGTGTCTGCTCTTGACTCTATTATAACTTCTAAGATTTTTTTCAAGATGTTTTCCCTTCATCCTTATCACTTAATTAAGCATCCGTCACTTCCTTCCTGTGGTTTCAGTGTATAAAAGAATTTTTACAAGCTTTTCTCCCTTCAGCAATAACAGGTAACATTTCGCTAAGTCCAGTTGTACATTTAAGCATATAACAACATGCTTAATTATTAGATGCTTACAAGCTTTGCTTGGCATAGGTGTACCATGTATTATTCTATGTCTTTCCTTCCCACTGTCCTATGATAGCCATTACCTTCTGAAATCTCAGTAAATGATGCACTACCCTATTAGCATTCTCTCTTCTGTTAGCCCTCCTTATGAGAGTTATTCTTTCCCTCATCCCACTCCTAAAAATTCATTTGGCCTTTGTGGAGTATTTAGATCAAGTCATTATTAAACTATTCCCCACTAGAATTATTAATAGTTGATAAAATATGGAAAATATATTATTCATATGTGAGTGAAAGAACACTTAAAGCATAAAAAAGAACTACATGGCCATATATTGCATGGCAATAACTATATTAGCAGCAATAATAATTGTAATAGTAATAATAATAATGGCTAACACTTTAGAAGCTTCTGTGTTAGGCATTTCCGGGTGCTTTTCATGGTACAGAAGCTCATTTGTTCCTCATACTAACCCTCTTCACTACTCTGCCACTGCCTCTCAAGCCATGGATATGTGCACTTTAGAGTTTTTACTTAAAGTAAAAATTCCTGTAGAATAGATGGTGTTGACCCCATCAGACCGTGATGCAGTTAGAAGTGCATCCCGTCTTTTACGATGGCCATACAACATCACACAAATCAAGGTAAACCCTTGATCCCCAAATTCTCAATGTATTAATAATGAACAGAGTTACACAAGAATTTTAGCATTTAAGGAAACAGGAGAGACGATAATACTGGAAATAATTTTTCAGAATATTTCTGTTCGGATTGATGGCAGAGTGCAGGCCATATACATTGACAATTATTCCAGAACACAATTATTGTTTGGAGCTAAAAGGATGCAAACCCTGCCTCTTGGCTTATATGGATTTATTTATGTTTAGGCCATTGAAATAATGGTAGAAAGGTAAGTATGATATGCTAATTAAGAACAGACTTCCTTTTTATATTTTAACCAAAGAACTCAATATCAACAAAAGACTAGTCAGTGGTATTCACCCTTTTTGATCATACACACCTATCAGTGAAAGCTTTGACTACTACACACCCTAATTTATTATCTTTATTTGTAAATTGTGTGCCTACTTTGGTGTAACAGGTACATCCGTAAAACATACACATACATAGAATTTTAAAGATTGGAATAAAAGTTAATACAAATAGAATTCCAAAACTTTCTTACCACCTACCTAGAAGTTGTAACATTTTCTTCCCATAGCCCAGTGAATTGCCTTGCACCTGCTTTGGCGACCAATAGGAAGAAAGGCAATGATATCATGGAAATTGTCTCTTTGGCTCAACAGCCACAGCATTTTGCAAGTGTTTCTTTGAAAACTTGCTTCACTGTGTTTTTCAATTTTTTTTTTAAACAACACTTAATACTGCCAGACAACAATTCAGACAGTGTGCTTTTTGTTTATAAAGAACAAGGAAGGGCTACTGGAATCTCACTTGTCCTTTGAAACTTTTGCTGACCAAGTGTAGAAGTGAGGGCATGCCTTCTGCTCACCCACAAAACACACCCTGTGCTCCACTGGACCTTCAAACCAGTGGAAAGACCCAACGCTTTTTGTTTTATCTAGCCAAAATTTGCTTATGCTTACCCAAAACCTGAAAAGAAATTATATTCTTAATATAAATACAATCACATCTTGAAATCACTTTGAAATTTTCTTTATTTTCCTTTTTTCTTTCCCCAACATATGTTCTGAAGTACACAGGCTGCATCAGTCAGCCATTTGTCCTGAGCAATAGTCTTTCAAAACTAGAAGAATTACTTGAAAAAAAGAAGACTATTAAGGAATTTAAACTCAAATAATTTATTGACCACTTGCTAGGTTGTACAGGGTAAATTTTTTTTTTTTTTTTTTTTTTTGAGATGGAGTCTTGCTCTGTCACCCAGACTGGAGTACAGTGGCACCATCTCGGCTCACTGCAAGCTCTGCCTCCCGGGTTCACGCCATTCTCCCTCCTCAGCCTCCTGAGTAGCTGGGACTACAGGTGCCTGCCACCATGCCCAGCTAATTTTTTGTATTTTTAGTAGAGACAGGGTTTCACCGAGTTAGCCAGGATGGTCTCGATCTCCTGACCTCGTGATCCGCCCACCTCAGCCTCCCAAAGTGCTGGGATTACAGGCGTGAACCACCGCGCCTGGCCCGACTAATTCATTTATTCAGCGAGTGTTTTCTGAGCACCTACTATGTACTTGCCACTGTTCTAGGCACTGGGGATACAGGAATGAACAAAATCACCCAAATCTCTGCCCTCCCAATTTTCTGGTATGGAGAGAAAGTTCTTTTGTAGATAGGGATGAGAATCCCACAGAAAACTCAGGAGTGATGTAACAATGCAAATGCTCACAAAATCTCTTTCCTCATCTTTCATTCCCTATTTGGAAGGAAAGGTTTCAAAGACATTGATGTTGTATAAATGACCATCTTCTTCATTATTTTATAAACATTTGTCCTGTGCAGAGTAAAAACAACTGGACTGCATAACAAATTATACCTATTGAGAGTTGGGTAAAGAGTTACCATTGGATCCAGTCCACCAACCCAAATGTTTTTCTACATGTATTAGCTGAGATGAGCTCCTCATCTCAGGAGAAGCCTATTCCCACTGCAGGCCTTCTTGAGTCTGCTGTGTTCATCATTCCCACCACCAACACAAAAATACAAGATTGGCTCTGGAAATCCTTCACAGAGAAGGAAGGAAAGGAAGATGGTGAGGTTGGCTTTTTAGCTGTGATCAGCAACCAAGCTGGTCTTTGCTATGAGAATCAGTGGGACCATGATCTCTATGGTCATCTCAGGAAGGGAGGGCTAATGAAGTGGTCTCTGGCCATGATTCCTAAGAAGAGAGAATGGACAGCAAAGATCGCAGCACCTGCCACAGCCCACCTGCTGCAGATTCAGACCCCCTGGTGGGGCCAGGTTGTTATGACTAACCCCTAGCACTGTCTACATTTAGTGGTGATGGATGCCAAGGAGGGGGCAGTGTCCCCTTGGATCTGATTGTAAAGCTTAGAACCAAAGCATATGTGGAAAGTTGTAGGGTCATGAGTTAAGGGACAGAAATGAGCAAGAGAGAAGCCCTTGGCTCATATATTCCCACTGCAGGCCTTCTTGAGCCCTCTGTATTCATCATTCCCACTGTCTTTCAAGCCCAAGCTCATGCTTTGTTCTCATGGGCACTCATTTTTAGGATATCTTTTGTCCCTCTTGACTTTATGTTGTGTGATACCAACTCTTTAGTAGTTTTTTGTATTATTTAACTTCATGTGTTTATCTGCTCTTGAGTCTCGAGGGCAGGATTTATGCAGTTTACTTCTGTTTATTCCTCTTAGCCCTTGCACAGTGCTGTATACATAGACATCTACTATATTTTTGTTAAACAGAGCAAAGAATGGCTGGCAATTGGAGAATGCAGAGAAACCGAAAAATTTTAAATTTAAAAATCACAAATAAAAACAGCAGGATGAAGGCAAGAAAGCAAAAGGGTGGAAAGTGATTAAAATGAAGGTGGCAGAAAAAACAGAAAGCATTCCTCTTTGAGTTTGAGTCTGTTATAGTGTGATCTCTTCTGTGTATGCATGTATGTGTGTGTAATGTATATGTGCACACACATGCATGCATGCCTTCGTTGAGTTTCTATTCCGAACTAAGGAAATGCAAGCAATATACTGTTTTACTTATTTTATGGCAGGGCTTAACACTTTCCATTTGAGTGAGTGACTTTTAAGAATGACATCGGGTAAGTATAATGGTGAGCCCTTATAATTAATACATTGGTGAAGAAAAATATACTAGTCATATTAAGGTAAGTTTCATATTTCTAAAACACTGTAATAAAATATAAATATTTTGCTTTTCAGCTGTCAGTGGTAGCTATAGGAATTAACATATACAGAACATCAAATGTGGAGGTGCTACTACAGTTTCTGGAAGATCAAAATACTTTCCCCAACTTTGAGCATCTGGCATATTGGCAGATACAGTTCAACAATATAGCTGCTGTCACAGTATTTTTTGTCTGGATTAAGGTAATTTATAAATTTCATGTTCTACATTTTAAATAATATTTTCTTTAAAAAAAATGAGTTCCACAAAATCATGGAATACTTGAATTTGAAATTCAAGTGACCAGCCAAAGCTGCTCAATATTTACTTTGAGACAGGGTCTCACTCTGTCACCCAGGCTGGAGTGCAGTGGTATGATTACAGCTCATTGCAGCCTCGACTTCCCAGGCCCAAGCGATCCTCCCACCTTATCCTCCGAAGTCACTGGGACTACAGGCATGTGCCACCATACCCGGCTAATTTTTAAATTTTTTCGTAGAGACAAGGTCTCATTATGTTGCCCAGGCTGGTTTTGAACTCCTGGGTTCAAGCAATCCTCCCACCTCAGCCTCCCAAAGTGCTGGGATTACAGGCATGAGCCACCGTGCCAGGCCTCATATTTTACATATAAAGTAAACTATTGAGACTCATGTGATCATTCCTCTCACTGTCAATGACATACTTCTGCTATCTGAATTAGTGCAAGATCAGTCCCTATAGGTTTTGTTTAACAAATGCAGTAAGAGGCCTTTCAGTGTGTTAGCTGGGCCTGGGGCCCCAGGCTGCTAACAGATGAGATGAACAGGTGAAGGAAAAGGAACTTAGAGAAAGAGAGGGAAGGAGCAGGTGGAGGGAAGGGGAGAGTTGCTGCACTTGGAAATGCTTGCTAGAAGGGATCGCCTCTTTTCCAGGTAGAGGCTGTAAGGGAAGCTTTACCTAGAATTAAGGTTGGAACAGACACTGCTTCCAAATAGTTCCTTGCTCACTATTTTCCTTATTGTCCCAAGATATAATGTGCATTTCCATGTGTGTGAAAGGTTATGACATTTCATATACAACAAGCCTCAATTCTGGAGATGCAGGAAATTTCAATAATTCTCAGGCAGCAGCTGCCATTCGGTCACCAGCACAGGCTCTGATTGTGCTGTCCAGACAGTAAGTACTAGCCACATGTGCCTATTTAAATTCAAATTTAAATTAGTTAAGCTTAAATACAATTAAAAACGCAGTTCCTTGGTCCTACTGGCCACACATTAAGTGTTCAATGGCTACTGTCTAGGACAGTGGAAATGTAGAACATTTCCATCATCACAGAACGTTCTCTTGAAAAGCACTGTTCTGGAAGGTACTTACCCGTTATGTACTTTTCTGAGTTGGTATTCATACCTAGAAGACCTGAGGTTTATCACAAGACATAGACTTGGACCAGGCGCAGTGGCTCATGCCTGTAATTCCAGCATTTTGGGAGGCCGAGATAGGTCCCCTGAGCCCAGGAGTCTGATACCAGCCTGGGCAACATGGCAAAACCTCATCTCTACTAAAAATACAAAAATTAGCTGGGGGTGGTGGCACGTGCCTGTAGTCCTAGCTACTTAGGAGGCTTAGGCGGGAGGATTGCTTGAATCCAGAAGGCGGAGGGTGCAGTGAGCCAAGATCGCACCGCTGCACTCCAGCCTGGGCAACAGAGTGAGACCCTGTCTCAAAAAAAAAAAAAAAATGCATAGACTTTATCCTGTATTTCTCATGCTATTTATTTATTGACATGCTTGTTCAAGAGAAACCATCACTAAAGCACAAAACCTTGATCATAACATAGTAATAATAATCAAACAGCAAAAATAATAATAGTAATAAGAATGTTCTGTGGTGATGGAAATGTTCTATATTTTCATTGTCCTAGACAGTAGCCACTAACCATGTATAGGCATGGAACACTTAACATGTGGCTAGTAGGACCAAGGGACTGAATTTTTAATTGTATTTAATCTTACTTAATTTAAATTTGAATTTAGATATCCACACATGTTTGGATAGCACAGTCAGAGCCTGTGCTGGTGAAAGGATGGCAGGTGCTGCCTGAGAATTACTGAAGTTTCCTTGATTATTATTAGTTTAATAATAATAATCAAGATAGTAATAATAATCAAGATAGTAATAATAATCAAGATCTCAGCTGGGCACAGTGGCTCACGCACTTTGGGAGGCTGAGGCGGGCAGATCACCTGACGTCGGGTTTGAGACCAGCCTGGCCAACATGGTGAAACCCTGTCCCTACTAAAAATACAAAAAAAAAAAATTAGCTGGGTGTGGTGGCACGTGCCTATGATCCCAGCTACTTGGGAATCTGAGGCAGGAGAATTGCTTGAACCCAGGAAGCAGAGGTTGCGGTGAGCTGAATCATGCCACTGCACTCCAGCCTGGGCAACAGAGCAGCACTTCGTCTCAAAAAAAAAAAAAAAAGATCTCAAATGAATTGGGATTGTATTAAGTAATGATTAAGTAATGTGATTACAGCAATCCTCAAGAAATATTTCACTGTGGCCAGTAACAATGTGTAACAGACCTTTAAACTTCTAGAGATTTTCCTACAACATGTGTCTCAGGCTGATGTGTTTTATTTAGTGCTTCTCTTGGAAATGTCTTGCCCCTCGATACTTTATCATTAAGGTCTTTAAGGCAGGGATCATGACTCTACTTTTTTTTTTTTTTTTTTTTTTGGGACGGAGTCTTGCTCTGTCGCCCAGGCTGGAGTGCAGTGGCACAATCTTAGCTCACTGCAACCTCCGTCTCCTGGGTTCACGCCATTCTCCTGCCTCAGCCTCCCGAGTAGCTGGGACTACAGGCGGCTGCCACCACGCCCGGCTAATTTTTTATATTTTTAGTAGAGACGGGGTTTCACCGTGTTAGCCAGGATGGTCTCGATCTCCTGACCTCGTGATCCACCCACCTCGGCCTCCCAAAGTGCTGGGATTACAGGCTTGAGCCACCACGCCCGGCCTCATGACTCTACTTCTAATATCTCATCATGTGCTCTTCCACTGAGGCTTCTACTTAGAGCTACACAATCTGGGCAGCCATCCTCAGTGCCTTATCTACCAACATGCTCAATATGGCTTTGCAGGGTTCACTGTCTACCAGCAGGGTTCACTATCTACCAACATGCTCAATATTTCTTTGCAGTCAGGCAGAGCAGGCTTTGCAGTTCAGGCAGGGCAGCTGGCTGCAGGCCCCAGCTGACTCCTGGGGATAGAATGCCAATATTTCAGACATTGCAGAGATTTGAGGCAATGTACATAAAGCCCTCCACATATAACTGATGCACAATAAATGACAGTTAATATTATGCAACAAGAATTTCCTGGGGGGTTTTATAATTAATTTTTATTTGTGTGAAGTTTTTTCCCTCCCTTTTACTTTAATCCTTTTTGGGGGGAAAGCATCACTAGTCACAGTTCACGGCAGCCTCGACCTCCCAGGCTCAAGCAACCCTCCCACCTCAGCCTCCTGAGTAGCTGAAACCACAGGTGTGTGCCACCACACCTGACTAATTTATTTTTATTTTCTAATGAAACAGAATCTTGCCATATTGCCCAGGCTGATCTTAAACTCATGGGCTCAAGCGATCCTCCTGCCTCAGTCTTCCAAAGTGCCGGGATTATAGATGTGAGCCACTGCACTCAGCCTTTTTTTTTTTTTTTTTAATTGTAGATAGCATAAAACCTACTGTTTTAACCATGCTTAAGTGTACAATTCAGTGGCATTAAGTACATTCACAGTGTTGTGCAGCCATCGCCATTATGCTGCATTATTTTCAGAACTTTTTCATTATTCTAAACTGAAACTTTGTATCCATTGAACACTAACTCCCAATTCCCCCAGTCCCTGGTAACCTCCATTCTACTTTCTGTCACTGTGAGTTTGACTATTCTAAGTACCTAATTTAAGTGGAATCATACAGTATTTGTCCTTTTGTGTCAGGCTTATTTCACTTTGCATGATGTTTTCAAGGTTCATCCATGTTGTAACCTGTCAGAATTTAATTTCTTTTCAGGATGAAATAATGTTTTATTATATACAGTCACACCATTTTGTTTATCCATTCATCTATTGATGTCTTCTCTCTCTTACAGCTCTTCAAATTCATCAATTTTAACAGGACCATGAGCCAGCTCTCGACAACCATGTCTCGATGTGCCAAAGACCTGTTTGGCTTTGCTATTATGTTCTTCATTATTTTCCTAGCGTATGCTCAGTTGGCATACCTTGTCTTTGGCACTCAGGTCGATGACTTCAGTACTTTCCAAGAGTGTATGTAAGTATATATGAAATTAAGAAGAAAAATTTAATCAGAGTTGTCACTGCTTCTCAAGAATAAATCTTCATATGAGGTTGCTATATGACCACCAATTATTTAAAACCAGTTATTTTAAGTAAGAATTAATTACCTTTTCCCAAAACATTGATCTACCCATGCAAAGAAGACAATGCATCCTGAAATGCTGATGCTTAAGATAGCAGCCCAAAGTAGTAAAATACAGTTAACAGACATAGGAAACCAACACTGTTCTGAAGACTGAGTTTTTCTTTGCACCAAATGCAGATGGTAGCTTCTAGAAGGCTGTTTGCCTATATTCTTACTCCTGTTGAATATTGTTGCCATATATTTAGAACTTCAAGTTATTTTCTAAGGAAAAAAACAAGATATTTCTAATATTCTAAGGTAAACTCAGACCAGTACAAGAATTTTCAGTTTTTTTTTCCAAAGATCCCAAATGTGAAATAAAACAACAAAAAGCAGCCAGTGTCAGATTTCTATGCCATTTAGAAAGGAGTTAGTTTAAAAAGGAATGGAAGTAATAGGGTTTTGTGCATAGATATCTCGAATTAATATTGCTGTTGATAAAAGTGATTTTGCTAAGACCCAGCACTGACAACACTTGGCCACTTTGATCCCATTTTAAGTACTTGTCAGAATATTGGATCTTTGAACTCAAACCATTTTGGGTTTTTGGGGTTTTTTTGTTTTGTTTTTTTTTGTTTTGTTTTGTTTTTGAGGCACGGTCTTGCTCTGTTGCCCAGGCTGGAGTGCAGTGGTGCAATCATAGCTCACTGCAGCCTTGAACTCCTAGGCTCAAGCAATCCTGCTGCCTCAGCCTGCTGAGTAGCTGGGACTACAAGTGTATGCCACCATGCCTGGCCAATTTTTAACTTTTTTTATGAGAAGGGATCTCACTGTGTAGCCCAGGGTGGTATTGAACTCCAGGGCCTCACACTGTCCTCTCACCTCAGCTTCCAAAAGTACTGGGATTACAGGCATGAGCCACCACACCAGGCCCTGTTGTTTTTTTTTTAAAGAAATTTTTAACTTTAGACCGAGGGTGACTGTTGTCAAGGTTTAGGGTTAAGATGTTTTACCTAGATTATGTGTTGAAATGTTATAGCCAATTGCTTTATAAGTTATTGAATAATAATTGTATTTTCTTTTTTTTTTTTTTTTTGAGATGGAGTCTCGTTCCATCGCCCAAGCTAGAGTGCAGCGGTGTAATCTCAGCTCACTGCAACCTCTGCCTCCCGGGTTCAAGCGATTCTCCTGCCTCAGCCTCCCGAATAGCTGAGATTATGGGCGCACGCCACCAAGCCCAGCTAATTTTTGTATTTTTAGTAGAGACGGGGTTTCACTATATTGGCCAGGCTGTTCTCGAACTCCTGACCTCGTGATCCGCCCGCCTCGGCCTCCCAAAGTGCTGGGATTACAGACGTGATCCACCGTGCCCAGCTTGTGTTTTCTTTTTAACCAAATGGAAATAACCTCTGTAGCATGAAAGCATTTTATTATTATTGCAGAAGGCTTTAATTGCTGATACAAGTAGCAAGACTTTGTAAATGGGATTGACAATTTTCTGTTATTCGGCAGCTACCTATACTGCTAAAAGGTCCAAAAATAATGAAATCATCTTTAAGAAATGTTGCATCAACTAGTGGACATTCTTTGTTTTTGTATTGTGGTGTTTTGTTTTATTTTTATAGCTTCACTCAATTCCGTATCATTTTGGGCGATATCAACTTTGCAGAGATTGAGGAAGCTAATCGAGTTTTGGGACCAATTTATTTCACTACATTTGTGTTCTTTATGTTCTTCATTCTTTTGGTATGTACATTTTTATTTATAGTGAGGTTCAATTTAAACTTCGTAAATCCTTGTCTTCTCTTTTCTCTCACACTTTATGTCCTATCAATTTTAAATAAAGACCCAGGAAGTAGAAAAAAGTGTGGATGTTGGAAAACTTATTTTCCTTTTATTAATTCACAGTTTTGAGACTCATATCAAATGTCTTTTCTGTGGTCTTTCATTGATCCATGTATATGTGTCTATTCAATGCAAAAAAAATTAGATCTCTTCCATGGTCTTTCATTTCTCTCTCTATATATGTATCTATTCCATGCAAAAAAGAAATTAGATCAAGTACAAATTTATAAAGATACCTAAAATAGTGCTTTGCCTAAAAAGTAGAATATGCTTACATGCTTTTTAAACTCATATGTCAGCACTTTCGTAGTCACTTGCTAGCATGACTTTTCTCTCTTTCTTCTTTTCTTTTTAAAAAATAAGAACGGAAAAGCAAGCTAGATCTAAGATGTCGAGTAATAGTTGAGTGAATCATTGCATGTCAAAATTAGGATATTCTGTTTTAAATTATTTATATCCCATTCATCTAGAGACTGCCTACAGAGAATATTCAAATAATTAAGTTTAAAACTAAATGTAACAATGAATGGAAATTGCATTAAAATTATTTTCAAAAATAATTTTTTTATTCTCTTGATTTGGTACAAATGAACATTTTTAATGTTTTTGCCCTAAGTCAATTAAGTTTTTTTAAGGTGTTTTGTTCTTTTTCTTAACATTTATATATTCAATTGTCTACTGAGAAGGTGTTAAGCCAGCTTAATTTAGGCAATATTTTTCATCTAAACACTAACAGTCATCTTAAGAACAATTTTCTTAAGAAAATAACATTTTTTCCATTTCAGTAAATTGTGTAAAGATCCCTTGAGGAAGGTTAAGTGATCACATTTTCAGTAATTCAGTGTAATAACTCTAAAGTCAGTCCAGGTATTACTGGTTAAGTATATGGTATTTATTGATTGGGTATTAGATGTACTGTATTAATTTCCTGTTTAAAAAAAATTTTTTTTCCGGGGAGACACAGCCTCTGGTGTAAAACAAAGGTGTGTTCCCTAGCTGTACTTTAACAGGACTGAAAAGGTCAGGAATATCATTCAAGTTCATATGTATCTTGCTGTATGCATGGTTTATGGCTCATTTTTAAACTTACACCTCTTAAGCTTCTTCTTCCTATCATATATTAAAACAATGGAGAGAAGAATAAGCCTCTGTTACTCTACCATTGATAGTACTTCGGATTCTAGAGTACCTGAATCTCTACTAAGAAGGCAAAAACCAGGAATTGAGAGTCCTGCACCTGACCCTTCAGTTGATCTCAGGCCACCTAGTTTTCTCCGTTTATCAATCTGCCAAACAAGGATGGATAGAGTCGTGGCAACTGGAAAGGCTCAAATGTGGAATTGTTTGAATGTGGTCCTTTAGTAGGCAGCCATCTTACCAGATCTAGAGTATTCAGTCATCTTACCAGATCAGTCACCAGAACATGAAAAGAAGCTCTTAGTTTCTATCTTTATACTAAAATTGTTTTTTTGTACGACTGCACAAAAAAGAATTGCTCTCCTTGCACCTCCCAGAGATATAGGTGGATAGATACATACATACGTACATACATACATACATACATACATACATACATACATAGACACATACATAGATAGAAGTCTACTTTCAATACAAACCTGTCTTTTAAGGAAATGACAAGCTGAGCATAGGGTTGGCCACCTTTCTGAGCCGATTGCCTGGTATTAGTTTATTGCCCCTGTTTAGCAAGAAGGCACAGTGTTAAGAAGTGGCTCAGCTGAACCAGGATAACCCCACTCTTCCCCCACATCAACAGGAAAGACATCCTGGTGCAGATGTCCATCTGATAATTCAGGGAACCTCGGGAGACAGGATGGAGAGGAGGGTGAGCTAGCTTCCTCTTCCCACACCTTCAAGAGCCTTTCTCAAGCACTTTCTATTTTTTGAAATCTCTTTAGAGGTCCCAGACTTTGATCTGTTTCAATTAAGGTATTGGCAGGCATTAGTTAACAGCCACTTGGAAGCAAAAATAGAACATTAGATCCCTGAGTTGGAAGAGAGAAGGTAGAAGGTGTTACTTGGACTGCAATTATCTGCACTTGGAATTGAGCATTTAGTCAAAAACTTATATGTATTCTATATTCTATTCTCATTTCTGCTACAGAATTGTAAACAATATTCTTCCTTAATACAGAAATTCATAGCCCACTAAAATAAGAGCGTTCTCATTTGTTCATTTCTCAATCATTTAATAAGTATTTACTAAGCCACTATATCCATATATATATATATATCATATATACTGTATAATACACACTGTAGTGTTTTTTGTGGATTGTGTACTATGAGGTAGTATGTTAGATACTGCCAGTACTGGGGTAAGGAAAACAGCCTGATTAGGCCCTTACGAAGATTCCTCAGACTTGTGGGGAAAACAGACATTATCAAATAGAAATACTTGCAAACCACAGTTATGTGTTAAAAAGGAAAAACAAAGTAAAAAAAAAGTTGGTGGGGGGGAACCTGATCTCCTGGATACAGTGCTTCGAGAAAGTTTGTTGTTGGAAATGCAAACCATTACTACTGTGGAAGGGAAAGGTCAGAAAAATGAACTCACCATTACTGAATAGTAATAGTAGCTATCAATTAGGTGGCACTTACCTGCATCAGGACCTGTCCTGAGCACTTTACATAGATTGTCTCACTAACCAGCCCAACAAATATGTAAGGGAGATACTATTATTTTTCCCATTTTATTAATGTAAAACAATTAAATAATTCTTTAAAATTAGACTTAGAAAAGTGGAGCAACAATCTTAGCAGTGCTAGGACTGAAATCCAAGTTTGCTTGACTCCAAAGTCTATCTCTCTTCCAGAAACTTTTTCTTTACTATCTGCCTAGTAGGCCTGCTGTATTCCTATTTGCAACAGCCTTTTAAACTCTTTAAAAATGTGTCCTGTAAATTTCATATATGATTATACAAAAAAACTTGGAATAAGCATACAATTCTACTTATCTGTGTTAACTGTTGAAATTTGAAGAGCTTTTTGGAATTCTATACCCTTCAGTAGTGTATGTAAAAGTTTCTAAATATAGAGAACATAGATAAGCAAAAATAATATTAAATAAAATAATCGCACCATTAGTAGGTAAATATACTAATATTTTGTTGTATTTTATTCTTGTATGTTTTCACAAAGTATATCATAAAATTTTTCCTGTGGCATGACTTAACGGAGAAAATAATCTTCCCAAAACATGTGGCAGCAAAACTGTTAATTTATTACATCAGGCTGGGCACAGTGGCTCACGCTTGCAATCCCAGCACTTTGGGAAGCCGAGGCGGGCAGATCACTTGAGGCCAGGAGTTCGAGACCAGCCTGGCCAACGTGGTGAAACACTGTCTCTACTAAAAATACAACAGTTAGCCAGGTGTAGTGGCACATGCCTGTAATCCCAGCTACTCAGGAGGCTGAGACTCAAGAATTGCTTGAACCCAGGAGGCAGAGGTTGCAGTAAGCTGAGGTCGCGCCCCTGCACTCCAGCCTGGGCAACACAGTGAGACTCTGTCTCAAAAAAAAAAATTTTTTTTTAAATAAATAAATAATAAATTTATGTCTTCATAAAGCACTCAGATTAGGAAAAAAAGGATAAACAAAAAGGCATGTGTCATTTTTTTGATTGATAATTCCAAATTATGTTTCTTCCTTTAATTTTTGCCCTCCTTTCATTTACAAACAGAATATGTTTTTGGCTATCATCAATGATACTTACTCTGAAGTGAAATCTGACTTGGCACAGCAGAAAGCTGAAATGGAACTCTCAGATCTTATCAGAAAGGTAGGAAAAACCTTAATTCTCAGAATTCTTCTGTTTCTGACATAAAATGAGCATTGTTTCACCCAGATTTTCAAATCAACATTGATCCATTGAAATTGTTTGAAATAAAGAATACATTGCTATATTTCAGGAATAATTTAAATGTTCCCTATCTTGGAGTCTTGATGGATATACTGCTATCTTGAATTTTAATTCTGGGAATCCTTTTATGCCCTGGAATTAAATTCTCAACAATCTTTTGACACTTTAAGAGCTGAGCTGAAGGTTCATCACCTTCATTATTTTGACATCTCCTGTAGCTGGCTCTCACTTCAGGATCCTGAGTTGAGAATAAACTAGAAGGGAAGATTATATAAAGGGATTTCCACCTCTTCTGTCTCAATTACCATTTTAAAAAAATAAAAAGTTTTAGAGGAAAACACTTAGTAGTTCACCCTTTACCCTTGACCTTCCACGGCAGTTTTAAAATAAGCAAAGGAAAAGATTCATGAATTCAGGCCATAGCCTGGGGCCTGAGAACTTTTACTTATGCACCTTCTCAGGAAGGGTTTCATTGTTAAATAGAAGGGCAGGACAGGAAAGTTGGGCCTCTTTGTTCTTCTCAATGTAACTTCTTTATTTGGTTTAAAGTATAAAATGTATACAACAACAAATAACCACATTTAAAATACACAGTTTGTTTCCCAACATCATTTTGCTAAGTCATAGTGGCTCCTTAACTGTAATTTTTTTTTTTATTAGTCCAAGCCTTAGGATTATGTTATCTGTGATATATGTTATAATAGAAAACTTAAGCCTCTTAAAACAAAGTCCTTGGGATGGGACCTAAGATTCACATTATCTTGATTCCGCATAACAGTTGCTTACATTTTAGCAAATCTCCAGTGTGTATGCAAGCACTCCTCACTTGGCACAATTCTGATACACACAAACTTTGGTTACCCCAGTTTTGTTATGTAACACCACCTTCAACAACACAGTTCAAATTTCAGTTATCATAGTATATTAACTCTGAGTAACAGCACAAAGTACAAACTCCACTGCTAGCTCTTCAGTGTATAGATCAGTTACCTGAGTAACAGATGTGCAGGCTGAGCAGGCTCACTGGTCAGTCATGACACTATTTTCAGTCTGTTACTAATTGGTCACTGAGCATCTGCTATCCAATTCACAAACAAAGAAAGCATGTAGTGTTGCTTCCTTGTGTTCCAGTAATAAGCCCATGTGACATTTTACAAAAATGGATAATTGAAAAAGAGAATGGGTGCAGTGGCTCACGCATGTTGGGAGGCCAAGGCGGATGGATCACCTGAGGTCAGGAGTTCGAAACCAGCCTGGCCAACATGGTGAAACCCCATCTCTACTAAAAATACAAAATTAGCTGAGTGTGGCGACAGATGCCTGTAATCCCAGCTACTGGGGAGGCTGAGGCAGGAGAATCGCTTGCACCTAGGAGGCGGAGGTTGCAGTGAGCCGAGATCGTGCCATTGCACTCCAGCCTGGGTAACAAGAGCGAAACTCCGTCTCAAAAAAAAAAAAGAAAAGAAAAGAAAAGAAAAAGAGAATGGGCTAGCAAAGAAATGAAAAATGGTAACACTGGAAGTGAAAATCAAAACAGAGTAATGGATTTATAGAAGAAATAGCTGAGTGAAGAAGAAATAGGAGTGTTGACACTGCGATCATTCAAGAGATCCAGATATGGAGCCAGAAGAACTTAGGGCAGGTCTATCAACTTAAATGAGGAAAATAGCTGTGATAAAACAGATGAAGATGTCTTGAGGAAATGATGCCTGCAAAAAACTTCACATTAAGGGAAGTCTTATTAGAGATATTTCACAATAATGAAAGTACAAAAGAAAAAATGTTGGGGCTGGACATGGTGGCTTACTCCTGTAATCCCAGCACTTTGAGAGGCCAAGGTGGGTGGATCACTTGAGGCCAGGAAGTCGAGACAAGCCTGATCAACATGATGAAACCCCGTCTCTATTAAAAATACAAAAATTAGCCAGACATGATGGTGCACACCTGTAATTCCAGCTACTCAAGTGGCTGAGGCACGAGAATTGCTTGAACCAGGGAGGCGGAGGTTGCAGTAAGCTGAGATTGCACCACTGCAATCCAGCCAGGTGACAGGGTAAGACTGTGTCTCAAAAATAAATAAAAGAAAAATATGTTGGAAGCTCATCCACATTTAAGAAGGAATATGACAATTCACTAATGCATAGAAAAGAAGTTCACTCCACATTGTAAAGTGTACAGTGTAATATTATACAATGAAAACAAGGCAAGTGCTGTTTAAACTACTCTGGATACATTTTTTACAAAGAAATAAAACACTTTAGTTTTTAATGTTTCTAATGTTTTACATTTTAGTGTATTAAATCAATATTAGTTTTCTTCTTTTTTAAGCTCCCTATACATTTATAACTGACACTAAGGGAGTGTTTAATGTTTTGATTAAAAGTTGTAAAGATCACAGAACAATTGTAATTCTTCCCACTGATTATTCAGATCATTTTGCACAATTTCAGCTTGCATGGTCACTTACAGTGCCGCACTATGTGCAAAGCAAGGTCAGGTCTAAAGTTCGCTAATGAAAAATCCTCGGCCAGGGGCAGTGGCTCACCCCTGTAATCCTAGCACTTTGGAAGGCGAGGCAGGCAGATCGCTTGAGCTCAGGAGTTCAACACCAGCCTGGGCAACATGGTGAGACCCTGTCTCTACAAAAAAAAAAAAATAGCAAGGCGTGGTGACTCACACCTGTAGTCCCAGCTACTTGTTGGGGGCTGAGTTGGGAAAATCACTTGAGCTCAGGAGGTCGAGGCTGCAGTGAGCCAGAATCACGCCACTGCCCTTCTGCCTGGGTGACAGAGTAAGATCCTGTCTCAAAAAAAGGGAAAATCCTCATCTACATTTCACTGGGTTTTTTGTTTGTTTGTTTGTTTGTTTATACACACTTAAGGAAATTACTGTCTAGAAGATAGATAATATAAAAAATAAAAATGCAATTCATGATTCGGGTTTCTTGGTATTCCTAAGAACTGTTGCACAGTACTTTATGCTCTGAGGCAGACAGCTATAGCATATATAGTAATTTTTGTTTCTATCACATAAACTTGAATACACATATGAGTAAAAGACCTTTAGTTCTTCATGACTTACTGAAAGACCCTGACTTTTTCCATGTAACTGTTCCACAAGTGTTTTATGGAAAACTGGATACATTAATTCTTCATTCATCCAGCACGTACTTGTTGAATGGCCAATGTACACCAGGTTTGTAGTAGTTACTACTGTGAATGGAAAGTAAAACAGATGCAAAAGGAGAATACACTAAACCAAGTCTTTTATTTTTTCTCTCTCTGATAGGGCTACCATAAAGCTTTGGTCAAACTAAAACTGAAAAAAAATACCGTGGATGACATTTCAGAGAGTCTGCGGCAAGGAGGAGGCAAGTTAAACTTTGACGAACTTCGACAAGATCTCAAAGGGTGAGAATCATGCTTCCTGAGGTTCTGAAAAATTCCTGCTTCTAAAGATAAATTCCTGGTGATAAGAGTATTTCTAGCCCAAGGGCTCATACAGATACTTTTTTTTTTTTTTTCCAGAGGCAGGTATCTTTCTGGAACATGTTATAAGAGGAAAACTTGCCCCCATTTGGTGATTTCTCCTTTCCTCCTGCATTTTGATGTCTCTGTGTTGAGGGTGAACTGGGTACAAGGAATGATTTTTATCTGTATCCTCTCTCTAATTTCAGGAAGGGCCATACTGATGCAGAGATTGAGGCAATATTCACAAAGTACGACCAAGATGGAGACCAAGAACTGACCGAACATGAACATCAGCAGATGAGAGACGACTTGGAGAAAGAGAGGGTGGGTCTGGTTTAGGAGAACCGGATTTGATTTGGTACCTACAACACCACAGATGTATCAAACACTATAGAAGTAGTGGGTTATTGAGTCTCTTGCCCATTCCCCACCACACTCTCTCTCTCTCTCAGTCGGTTTATGTGTTAGTACCCTGTTTATTCCAGAAAGAATATATAACACAATTATGTATAAAAATGGGTGGTTAGCATGATATAAAAACGTCAAAATGAAAAGCAAGCAAAACAAAAGTAAAAATAATGGATTATTAATGAAGCTTAAAAATGCATTCATAAAAACACATATGCTTATTAAGATTGGGCTACAAATTGGGCCCTAAGCTTGCTGGTAATCAGCTTGAAAAGAGAAGCCTGATTAGCTGCAGAGTCCACAATGTCCGTGAGAGTGAAGAAAACAAAAAATGACTTACCAAGAGATGTGAAATTATTCTGGTTAGTTAGTGGCTATTTAAATTGTTAACTTTTTTTTCTTTTTTTTTTTTTTTTGAGATGGAGTCTTGCTCTGCCTCCCAGGCTGGAGTGCAGTGGCACAATCGCGACTCACTGCAACCTCCACCTCCCGGGTTCAAGCGATTCTCTTGCCTCAGCCTCCCAAGTAGCTAGGACTACAGGCACATGCCATCATGCCCGGCTAATTTTTGTATTTGTAGTAGATATGGGGTTTCACCATGTTGGTCTCAAACTCCTGACTGCAAGCAATCTGCCCACCTTGGCCTCCCAAAGTGGTGGGATTACAGGCAGTAGCCACCGTGCCTTTCCTAAATTATTAACATTTATAATAAAATTAACAGCCGCCTTCCATTTGAATACTTTTTACAAAATAGTTAAAAATAAACATAAGTGGGCTTTTATAGTCAGAAAAAAAAATTCAAAGCTTTACCATTAACTTTCAAAAATAAATGGTTAGACAGCAACAACAAAAATCTGTGGTAACTGAGGTACAGAGAACACAGATGAATGTTATTACAAAAGCCACTTTCCTATGAGAAGTCTAGGACAGTGGTTTCTAAATGCCACTCCACAGACAGTGCTAGTAGGTGACAGACTTCTCCAGTCACAGTGAAATTTAAGCATAAAGAAAATGAGGAAAATTTTTACAAGGCTCTATTTAGACAAAGTTCTTATTCTGACATTACATCTTTCCTACTTTGGAGCTGTTGAATGTATTATCTTTTATGAAAAGAAGGCGATCCAGGTTGAGCATCCCTAACCCAAATATGTGAGTCTGAAATGCTCCAAAACCTAAAACTTCTTGAGCACAAACATGATAGTCAAAGGTCATGCTTAAAGGAAATGCTGTCATTGGAGCAGTTTGGATTTTGGGTTTTCAGATTAGGGATGCTGAACCAGTAAGTATAATGCAAACATTCCAAAATATTTTTGAAAATCCCAAATCCAAAACACTTCTGATCCCAAGTATTTCAAATAAGGGATACTCAACCTGTAATATATTTCTTCATTTCTTTATTTATTTTATTATTATTTTAAGATGGCTCATGGCCCACTGCAGCCTCAAACTCCTAGGCTCAAGTGATCTTCCGACCTCAACCTCCCAGGTAGCTCAGGTAGCTGGGACTGCAGGCATGCATCACCATGCCTGGCTAATTTTTTAAAAAATTTTTTGTGGAGGCAGAGTCTCACCTTGCTGCCCAGGCCAGTCTCAAACTCCTGGCTTCAAGCAGTACTCCTGCCTCAGCCTCCCAAAGTATTAGGATTACAGGTGTGACCACTATGCCTGGCCCATATTTCTTCATTTAGTTTTTTCTTTGCCTGCTGTGTTTTTAATGTTCTTTCTTGTTCAAACAAAAAGTTGGCTATTCCTTGCTGTTAGTTAAATTTGCCAATCTATGAAACTGAAAAATGCAGGAGTCCCAGCCTGGTGTTAAATACAAAGAAATCCCAGGTAAATGGCATGCACCCAGTTCCTGCTTGCCCAAGTCCTTGGTGAGGCTTCTGTGGGGTCTCAGTGTTCTGCTCCTCACTCAGTGACCCCTTGTTCTTCAGGAGGACCTGGATTTGGATCACAGTTCTTTACCACGTCCCATGAGCAGCCGAAGTTTCCCTCGAAGCCTGGATGACTCTGAGGAGGATGACGATGAAGATAGCGGACATAGCTCCAGAAGGAGGGGAAGCATTTCTAGTGGCGTTTCTTACGAAGAGTTTCAAGTGTAAGTATAAAGGAATTGGCAGAATTTGCGTTGACAAGAGTCCACATGAGACCAGGCAGTTCCCTCATCTCTCTGAATTCACTCCTTTCCATTACTAATCATCCAGCTTTTAAAAATAACTTATACTGGCCAGACGCAGTGGCTCATGCCTGTAATCCCACCACTTTGGGAGGCCAAAGCAGGCAGGTCATGAGGTCAGAAGTTCGAGACGAGCCTGGCCAACATAGTGAAACCCCATCTCTATTAAAAATACAAAAAATTAGCTGGGCATGGTGGTGGGCACCTGTAATCCTAGCTACTTGGGAGGCTGAGGCAAGAGAATTGCTTGAACCCGGGAGGCGGAGGTTACAGAGAGCCGAGATGGCTCCACTGCACACCAGCCTGGGCGACAGTGCAAGACTCTGTCTCAAAAAAAAAAAAACTTGTCAATTGGTGTTTTGTTTCTTACATAATATGTTTACTATAAAAATTAGCAAATAAGAGCAAAAGAAAACATTAACATTTCACATATTTCTACCAATGAAAAATGTTTATTAATATATCAGTGTTTGTGTCTCTATTTGCATGTGTTTATCAATGTTTCTATATATTTTTATGGCCTAACATATGGTTCGTCCTGAAGAATGTTCCTTGTGCATTTGAGAAGAATGAATATTCTGCTGTTCAAGTGTTCTGTAGATGTTTGTTAGGTCTAGTTTGTTTACAGTTTTATTCAGGTCTCCCATTTCCTGGTTGATCTTAGATGTGCCTAGATGTGGTATTCACGTTTGAAAGTGGGGTATTAAAGTCTCCAAGTATTATTAGTTGGAGTTCATCCCTTCAATTCTGTAAGGTTTTGCTTTGTGTATTTTGGAACTCTGTTGTTGGGTGCATACATATTTATAACTAGTATATTTTCCTAATATATTGACCCTATTTTCTCTCTCAACTTAATGAGGCTAAAGAAAAAAAAGAATTGACCCTGTTTTCATTACAAGATGTTATCCACTTTATCTCTAGTAAAATTCTTTGTTTTAAGTATTTTTTGTTTGATATTACTGTAACCACTCCAGCTTTCTTTTGGTTGCTGTTTGCATGATAAATCTTTTTCCATCCTTTTACTTTAAACTTATTTATATCTTTCAGTCTGAAGTATGTCTCTCCTGTAGACAGCATATAATTGGATCTTATCTTTTTATCCAGTTTGACAATTTCTGTTTTTGATTAGATTGCTTAATCCATTCATTTAATGTTATCATTGATGTAGTTGATTTCTGTCTGCTATTTTATTTTTTGTTTTCTAGCTTACTTTTTTTTGTTCCTCTTTCACTGCTTTCTTGTACATTAAGTGAATATTTTCAAGTATAACATTTAAATTTTTTTAATGATTTTTCATTTTTTTTAGTCAGGAGTTGCTCTAAGACTTAGTTTATACAATTAAGTTATGAAAAATTACTTCAGATATATATTAACTGAATCCAGTGAGATATAGAAATCATTTCTATTTAGCTTTTTTCCTCTTCCCTCTTTTTGTGCTATATATTCATCTATCTATATGTATATATAGTCATCTACATATGTTGCAAATCACATTGTTAGAACAATGTTACATTTTTATAACACACTGTGTAATATATAGTATATAATTTTATATCTCTTAATGAAGCTGAGAGAAGAGGAAGTATATATTTATAAATGTGTATATTAACCTACTTTTTTACCATTTCTAATTCTCTTCTTTTGCTCCTCTGGATTCAAGTTATCATCTGTCGTCATTCTCTTTCTCCGATACAGCTTTGCTACTGCCTACCTCCTATTATTGTCAAATATATTACATTTCTATTATAGACCTTCAGATCCAATTATGTACATATTTTTACACAACTGCTTTTTAAATCAGTTAAGGAACAAAAGGAGAAATGTACATATATACTATATTTTATACCTACACAGTTATCTTTACCAGTGTTCTTTGCCTTTTCATGTGGATTCTGATTACTATCTGGAGTCACTTGCTTTCAGCATAAAGAATTTCCTTTAGTATTTTTTGTAAAGCAGGTTTGCTAGCAATGAATTCTTTCATTTTTTGTTTATCTGAGAATGTTTTTCTTTCTCCTTCATTTCCTCTGGCTTGTATTGTTTCTGATGAGAAGACAGGTGCTAATTTTACTGTGGTCCCCTTGTACATGATGACTCAATTTTCTCTCACCACTTTCAAGATTTTTTTGCTTTTGTCTTTCATTATTTTTACTGTGATATGTCTGGGTATAAATCTCTGAGTTCATCCTACTTAGAAAGTGTTTTTTCTGCTTCTTTCACTTTCTCTTCTCCTTTGGGACCCGCATTATGCATATGCTTAGGGGTATCACATATTTCTCTTAGGCTCTGTTCGTCGTCATTTTTTTTCCCTCTCTGTTCCTCAGAGTGCATAGTCTGTATTGATGTATCTTCAAGTTCACTGACTTGTTCTTCTGTCAGCTTGCTTAAATCTCTGTTGAGCTCCTCTAGTTATTTATTTATTTATTTATTTATTTTATATATATATATATATATATATATATAGAGAGAGAGAGAGAGAGAGAGAGAGAAAGAGAGAGAGAGAGAGACAGGGAGACAGGGTCTCACTCCATCACCCAGGCTGGAGTACAGTGGTGTAATCATGGCTCTCTACAGCCTGAACACCTGGGCTCAAATGATCCTCCTGCCTCAACCTCCCAAGTAGCTAGGACTATGGGCACATGCTGCCATGCCTGGCTAATTTTTAAAAAAAAATTTGTAGAGATGGCATCTTGTTATGTTGCCCAGGTTGGTCTCAAACTCCCGGCCTCAAGTGATCCTTCCGCCTCGGCCTCCCAAAGTGCTGGGGTCACAGGTATGAGCCACCGCACTTAGCCTGAATTTTTTATTTATTATACTTTTCAACTCCAGAATTTCTATTTGGTTCTTTTTAGCAATCTCTGTCTCTTTATTCTGTATTTGATGATATCCTGTATTTGATGAGACAATGTCATCATAACTTCCTTTTTTTTTTAAGAGATAGGGTCTCTCTCTGTCACCCAGGCTAGAGTGCAGTGGCATGATCCTAGCTCACTGCAGCCTCGAACTCCTGAACTCAAGCAATCCTCCCACCTCAGCCTCCTAAGTACCTGACACTACAGGCATGAGCCACTGTACCCAGCTAATTTTTATTTTTTGTAGAGATGGGGTCTAAGTTGCCCAGGCTGGTCTCAAACTCCTGGGCTCAAGTGATCCTCCCTGCTCAGGCTCCCAAAGTGCTGGGATTACAGGCATGAACCACTGGACCCAGCCTCCTTTATTTCTTTAACCATGGTGGGGTTTTTTATTATTTGTTTGTTTGTTTTAACCTGTTTGAATATATTTATAATAGGTACCTTCAGGTCTTTGTCTGCTAAGTCTGACATCTGGGCCCTCTCAAAGACAGTTTCAGTTGTCTTTTTTTTTTTCTTCTTGTGTATGGGAACATTTTCCTGTTTTTTTGTTTTGTTTTTTGTTGTTTTGTTTTGTTGTTGTTGTTGTTGTTAAAGATTGGACATGTTAGATAATATATTGTAGGAACTCTGGCTAGTGATTCCCTTTCCTCCCCAGGACTTGTTTTTATTTCTCTTTGCTTGTTTACTTTTTCATACAGTCTGTTTCCCCACAGTGTCTGCCTCTGACTTTATTCCTTAGAGGGCGCAGCTGTGGCCATGTACGTAGTCACTCTGGGAAGACAGTGGTTTTAGCAGCGTGCTCATTAACTTTCTCTGACCTCTTTGTTATACCTCCTGCCTCTGTGGATATTAGACCCAGTTATTACATTTCATTGTTTACTGATTGGTCTATTGTTTTCCAGAATGCCTTGGGATGTAATTTGCTCCACAGTCTGATCCACTTAAATTCAGGCCTCTTTGCAGGGCTAGTTTTAGAGGCCAGTCTTTTTTTTTTTTTTTTTTTTTTTTTGAGACAGAGTCTCACTCTGTTGCCCAGGCCGGAATGTAGTGGTGCAGTCTCAGCTCACTGCAGCCTCAATCTCTCAGGCTCAAGCAATCTTCCCACCTCAGCTTCTCAAGTAGCTAGGACTACAGGTGCACGCCACCATGCCTGGTTAATTTTTGCATTTTTTATAGAGATGGGGTTTTACCATGTTGCCCCGGCTGGTCTCAAACTCCTGAGTTCAAGCAATCCACCCACCTCAGCCTCACAAAAGGCCGGGATTACAGATATGCACCACCACGCCTGGCCCCTGAGGCCAGTCTTTAACTGTCTTCTTAGCTGTCTCTTTCCCTGGTTCTCTCTGGTGAACTAGCTGGTAATTTGTTTATCTCATAAGGCTACCAGATTCCTTGTAAATGCTTATCCCCACAATCTCCATTGTTTTCAAGAGCATCGTTAGTCTTTAATTTCCTCACGCTTCATTCCAAATAAAGTCCATTCACTTGAGAAGAGTTCTATATTCCTATGACCTGTGTCTCCCCATGAGCAAAACTGCTACTGCTTTACAGAGCCAGGGACAGTGGCCCACCTCTCTGTGGCATCCTGCTTTATGAACAAGTCACTGGGCTCAGATGGCAGTCTCTGATTTTCTCACCTTGCTTCTTCTGGCATGGAAACTCCACCCTACAAGTGGGAACTGAGTGGAAGAAGAGAGCCCCATTCCCCTTAGCCACTCTTAACAGGATTAGAACCTCTGCAACATGCATTTAAGAATGGGAACAGGCTGGGCACAGTGGCTCACGCCTGTAATCCTAGCACTTTGGGAGGTCAAGGCAGGAGGATTGCTTGAGCCAGGAGTTCAGGACCAGCCTGTGCAACATGGTGAGACCCTCATCTCTACAAGAAATAGAAAAATTAACTGGTGGGTTGTGTATACCTGTAATCCCAGCTACTCGGGAGCCTGAAGTGGGAGGATTGCTTGAACCTGGAGGCAGAGGTTGCAGTGAGTCAAGATTACACCATTGCACGCCAGCCTGGGCAACAGAGTGAGACTCTGTCTCAAAAAAAAAAAAAAAAAAAGAGTAGGAACATTGAGGCTGGGCATGGTGGCTCATGCCTGTAATCCTAGCACTATGGGAGGCCAAGGCAGGAGTATCACTTGACGCTAGGAGTTCAAGACCAACCTGGGTAACATAGCGAGACTTTGTCTCTATTAAAAAAAAAAAAAAAAAAGGTGTAAAAAACTTTTGTAACAAGAGTGGGAAAGCCGGGCACAGTGGCTCACACCTGTAATCCCAGCACTTTGGAAGGCCAAGGCAGGCAGGCGGATCACCTGAGGTCAGGAGTTTGAGACCAGCCTGGCCAACGTGGTGAAACCCCATCTCTACTAAAAAATAGAAAAATTATCTGGGCATGGTGGTGCACACCTGTAGTCCCAGCTACTCGGGAGGCTGAGGCAGGAGAATCACTTGAACCTACGAGGCAGAAGTTGCAGTAAGCCAAGATCACGCCACTGCACTCCAGCCTGGGCGACAGAGCAAGACTCTGTCTCAAAAAAAAAAAAAGAGTGGAAATGTTAGGATGAGAAATGCTGGCAGCCTGCCCCTCCCTGGGAGATACTGTAGCCCTAGACTGGAAGT
Source organism: Homo sapiens (assembly GCF_000001405.40). Lineage (NCBI taxonomy): Eukaryota > Metazoa > Chordata > Mammalia > Primates > Hominidae > Homo > Homo sapiens. The sequence goes on from NC_000004.12 coordinate 88,073,614, forward strand.
TGGGGGAGGAGGGAGCCCTGTGCTCTTAGCTGCACCCATGTGAAGTTGTGCTTCTATCACATGAGCTGGGGACAGGAGAGAAGGCTCAGATTATGGCTTCAGTGCCACAGAATCTCTTCATACTAAAATTTAGTAGATTTTCTTGAATAAATGCTTTTTCATTTGCTGTACACCCTTAAAAGTTTCTAGAAATTTTTAATATTTGAGTTTTAAAAAATAATTTTCAACAGTTACAGTTATTTCACTAAAGAGAGAGTCTACAGAACCCTCTTGCCACCATTGCAGAGGTTGTCTTTGGCTTACGAGTTTTTAAAGTATTTGTATACATTTTTTAAGTTCAAAATAATAGAATTGTAAGTGAACATGCTGTTTTCATACTGTTTTTCAAGCTTTATTTAATATATTGTAAATCTAATTCTATTTTATTAAATAGTCTGCCACAGTATAATGTCTGATGTCTCCTTAGAATTTTATTGTATGGATGAACAATGATTATTTAATTTCCTACCAATTGTTGGGTGTTTTTTGTTTGTTTGTTTGTTTTTGAGACTGGGTCTCACTCTGTCACCCAGGCTGGAGTGCAGGAGTGCGGTGGAATGATCACGGCTCACTGCAGCCTCAACATCCCAAGGCTCAGGTGATCCTTCCACCTCAGCCTCGCAAGTAGCTGGGAGTACAGGCACATGCCACCATGCCCACCTATTTTTTAGAGATGAAGTTTTGCCATCCTGCCCAGGCTGGCTCGAACTCCTGGCCTCAAGCGATCTGCACACTTCCGCCTCCCAAAATGCCAGGATTACAGGCGTGAGCCATCATGCCCTACCCCCCCATCAATTGTTTGATGTAGCCATTTTTCAATGATCCGCGATTAAGAAGCAGCACTCTTTTATAGCCAAAAATTACACATATATAAAATTTTCCTTTAGAAAATGTTCTAAAAATGGAATGTCTAACTAAAGGGTTAGGCATACATTCTTAAGACTTCTGATACGCGCTGACTTGCAGGAAAGTTGTTTCAGTTAACACTCCTACCAGCGGCATCCGAGAGTTAATCTGTAAAGCTTGAGACAACTTAGAAAGTGTTTCAAATGATTGTGTTGCTTAAGAAAAAAATCTTAGCACTTCCTTTTGAAAAGCCAGTGGGGCTGAAAAGACAATGACAAGCACTTTGTCCCTCTGTACTGTGTTTTCCTTGCAGCCTGGTGAGACGAGTGGACCGGATGGAGCATTCCATCGGCAGCATAGTGTCCAAGATTGACGCCGTGATCGTGAAGCTAGAGATTATGGAGCGAGCCAAACTGAAGAGGAGGGAGGTGCTGGGAAGGCTGTTGGATGGGGTGGCCGAGGTCAGTAGTCATGAGCTGAAAACACCGCTGCTGAGCATGGTGTTATTAATGAAAATATATGTTGCTGACAGTTGTATTTGAAGTATTGAAGAAGAGTAAAAAAAATTTACGTTTATAGAAATTCACAATGATGTTTCCATTTACTCTCATTTTCAGATTTTTTTCTCTGAAACAGAAACACTCTTTCTATAAAATCTCTTGCTATAAAACATCAATGTAGTCATATTGTCTAACCCTTAGGCTGAGATGTTTATCTTTCTCCATAACTACAGATAAAATTATAATCTGGAGGTGTTACTTTCTTAATACTCCATATGCTAATGGTCCTGCCTTCACTGCAGGGTAGAATTAAGTGAAAAATTACTCCAGCAACTCTGAGATTTGCTATTATATGCTGTAAATCTCCAGCCTTACCAAACTACAGATTATTTGGTCCCTGGACTTCCTAAGGCATTTCCTTCTACTGCCCCCAACACCAGTTTCTTTTTCCCTTTTTAGGATGAAAGGCTGGGTCGTGACAGTGAAATCCATAGGGAACAGATGGAACGGCTAGTACGTGAAGAGTTGGAACGCTGGGAATCCGATGATGCAGCTTCCCAGATCAGTCATGGTTTAGGCACGCCAGTGGGACTAAATGGTCAACCTCGCCCCAGAAGCTCCCGCCCATCTTCCTCCCAATCTACAGAAGGCATGGAAGGTGCAGGTGGAAATGGGAGTTCTAATGTCCACGTATGATATGTGTGTTTCAGTATGTGTGTTTCTAATAAGTGAGGAAGTGGCTGTCCTGAATTGCTGTAACAAGCACACTATTTATATGCCCTGACCACCATAGGATGCTAGTCTTTGTGACCGATTGCTAATCTTCTGCACTTTAATTTATTTTATATAAACTTTACCCATGGTTCAAAGATTTTTTTTTCTTTTTCTCATATAAGAAATCTAGGTGTAAATATTGAGTACAGAAAAAAAATCTTCATGATGTGTATTGAGCGGTACGCCCAGTTGCCACCATGACTGAGTCTTCTCAGTTGACAATGAAGTAGCCTTTTAAAGCTAGAAAACTGTCAAAGGGCTTCTGAGTTTCATTTCCAGTCACAAAAATCAGTATTGTTATTTTTTTCCAAGAGTGTGAAGGAAAATGGGGCATTCCTTTCCACTCTGGCATAGTTCATGAGCTTAATACATAGCTTTCTTTTAAGAAAGGAGCCTTTTTTTTCAACTAGCTTCCTGGGGTAAACTTTTCTAAAAGATAAAATGGAAAGGAACTCCAAACTATGATAGAATCTGTGTGAATGGTTAAGATGAATGTTAAATACTATGCTTTTTTGTAAGTTGATCGTATCTGATGTCTGTGGGACTAACTGTATCACTTAATTTTTACCTTATTTTGGCTCTAATTTGAATAAGCTGAGTAAAACCACCAAAGATCAGTTATAGGATAAAATGGCATCTCTAACCATAACACAGGAGAATTGGAAGGAGCCCTAAGTTGTCACTCAGTTTAATTTCTTTTAATGGTTAGTTTAGCCTAAAGATTTATCTGCATATTCTTTTTCCCATGTGGCTCTACTCATTTGCAACTGAATTTAATGTTATAACTCATCTAGTGAGACCAACTTACTAAATTTTTAGTATGCACTGAAAGTTTTTATCCAACAATTATGTTCATTTTAAGCAAAATTTTAAGAAAGTTTTGAAATTCATAAAGCATTTGGTTTTAAACTATTTTAAGAATATAGTACTCGGTCAGGTATGACGGCTCACGCCTGTAATCCCAGCACTTTGGGAGGCCGAAACAGGCGAATCACTTGAGCCCAGGAGTTCAAGACCAACATGGGCAATGTGGCGAAACTCCATCTCTACAAAAAATGCAAAAATAAAAAATATAGTACTCAAGTATTCTTGATCCTGTGTTTCAAAACTAGAATTTGTAATGCAAATGGAGCTCAGTCTAATAAAAAAGAGGTTTTGGTATTAAAAGTTCATACATTAGACAGTATCAGCCAAAATTTGAGTTAGCAACACTGTTTTCTTTACGAGAGGGTCTCACCCAAATTTATGGGGAGAAATCTATTTCTCAAAAAAAAAAATCTTCTTTTACAGAAATGTTGAGTAAGGTGACATTTTGAGCGCTAATAAGCAAAAGAGCATGCAGTGCTGTTGAATAACCCTCACTTGGAGAACCAAGAGAATCCTGTCGTTTAATGCTATATTTTAATTTCACAAGTTGTTCATTTAACTGGTAGAATGTCAGTCCAATCTCCAATGAGAACATGAGCAAATAGACCTTTCCAGGTTGAAAGTGAAACATACTGGGTTTCTGTAAGTTTTTCCTCATGGCTTCATCTCTATCTTTACTTTCTCTTGAATATGCTACACAAAGTTCTTTATTACTACATACTAAAGTTTGCATTCCAGGGATATTGACTGTACATATTTATGTATATGTACCATGTTGTTACATGTAAACAAACTTCAATTTGAAGTGCAGCTATTATGTGGTATCCATGTGTATCGACCATGTGCCATATATCAATTATGGTCACTAGAAAGTCTCTTTATGATACTTTTTATTGTACTGTTTTTCATTTCACTTGCAAAATTTTGCAGAATTCCTCCTTTCTACCCATAAATTACATATATTTTTCTTCTTTAGTCATGGAGAACTCCCCCCCTCATCTCTTCCCTATTATCTTTCCCTGTGTACTGGTATTATTAAAAAGACATTACATACGCAAGTCTTTCTCGACAATCAAGAATGTTATTAATGTGTAATACTGAGCACTTTACTTCTTAATAAAAACTTGATATAGTAGCAGATGTGAGAGTTGTCTGTTTTCTAAGTAGTCACAGGTAATGTGCCTTTTATCATGAGACTTTGACTTTGAAAAAGGCACCTTCTCTATGTCCGAAAACATTAATTGGTACATTTCTCTGTTTATTACACGAGCTACACAATTCAGGTACCCAGTTAGCCTTTAAGCACAGGGCTGTCATTTATGGCATTTTTGTTTTTATTTTCCTGAAACGAAGATTCCAGGGCAGGTGGTTTATTTGAGAGGTGTAGGCAATAGGGATAGTGGAGTGGGAAGGACGGGGAGAAGAGAGGGTGCCAGTAAAGGGCGTGTCGTCTAGCTGCATAACAGCATAGGCTGCCAAAGCCTAATTCCTGTGGTAAAATGCTGAGAAACAGTTTAGGACAAATGAGAACAAACAATTCAGACTTATCCCAGCTGAAGGGCCAGGACTTTGGTTGAAAGACCACTCTGGGAGAATGATAGCAATTCCCTAGCACGTCCAGTAGACAAAGCAGCCTTTGCTGGCTTCTGAGCAAGCCTGTAGGCAAAGAAATGCAGACACTGGTAGATGAAAACCAGCAGGCATACACTGAAGTGCCACATGGTCAAGGTGCCCACGTTATACACTATGTATGATCACGCATTGTTCAATCCTAAGGGATTCCATCCCCTTAGAATACTACAAATGGGGCTCCATGGAGTTGTGCCACATGGTGACTCTCTATGCAGACCACCCATAAAACAGATAAGTTTAAAAGCATAAAGAAACAAGCACTAGGCTAAGACTCTGGTCCCCACTCTATACTTCCTAGTCATGTGATTATGCCAAGACAACTGGTCCAGTTTCTCTGAAGACTCTTATTTCTTCATTTGTCAAATGGGAAAATCAATACTTGTCTCCCTCATAGGATTTTGCTTGTGCAGTAAGAATATATATGTATGAAAGCACTTTAAAGCTGAAATTTCCATTACAAATGGAAGGCGGTACTACAGTACCTAGCCCAGTGACTTGCTCAGCAAGTTACAATCTGTTGAATCAGCAAAAAGGAAAGGAATTCTTGACAACTGCAAATTTGAAAGGTAAATAAAGGAGAATGATGTTGCCAAATGATAACTCAATACTTACTTAAAAGTCTTCTGTGTTTGTATTTCAAAATTGGGCTATTATTTGTACAGTTTTGTGTACGGCTTTTTCACTTCATACTGTATCATAAACATTCCATGAAACCCTGATTTCTATTAATAACTACAGAGTGAATCAATATAAATTAATATTATTTATGAAGGCCGGACACAGTGGTTCACATCTGTAATCCCAGACCTTTGGGAGACTGAGGCAGGAAAACTGCTTGAGGCCAAGAGTTCAAGACCAGCCTGGGCAACATAGCGAGACCCTGTCTCTATAAAAATAATCTGGGCATAGTGGTACATGCCGGCATTCCCAGCTATGCAGCTGAAGCAGAAGGATTGCTGGAGCCCAGGAATTTAAGGTTACAGTGAGCTATGATCACACTACCACTGCATTTCAGCCTGAACTGAGTGACACCCTGTCACTAAAATTAAAAAAATATATATAATATATGAATATGTGATACATGTCAATTAATTCATAAGTTGTTATACATTTTTAATTCATATGAATTACCCAAAATACATCTGCCCTGTTGTTGGACATTTAGATTGTTCCCGTTTTTTATTATTACCTCTAATGCCATGACTAACATATGTCGACATAAATTTTTTCACATATCTGGTTATTTCTTCATGGAATTCTGTATGGAGAAATATCTGGAAATGTAATAATTAGGTTAATCTATATGAACACATGGTTTTGACACATATTACCAATTTTTCAGAACATTTATACCAAGTCATATTATAACCAAATTTATGAGTACCCATTTGTCCACCTGCAAACACAGAGAACTTTTTTGTAAAAAGTGTTTATTTTTATTTAAATTTAAACAGAAGAAAATTATGCACAAAAATGAAGAAATTGCTGAATCTCAGATACTGCTTCACAAAAAACAAGATTTCTTAGAGTTTCTTCTAGACTTTAAAAAGCAGTAAACACCAGCCTGGGCAACATGGCAAAAACCCCATCTCTACAAAAAATAGAAAAATCAGCCGGGCATGGTGGTGCTCGCCACTGCACCTCCAGCCTTGGTGACAGAGTGAGACCCTGTCTCAAAACAAAAAACAAAAAACATACACACAAAAACCAATAAACAAAAACTTTAAGAGGTAGAGATGTTTTAGTGGATGTAAATTTAAGTTTCAAGACAGTAGAACATGGCCAACATTTTTAGAAAAATCACAGACCACCACTCATCTCTTAAAGGAAAAAACAACCTTTGATGGAGAAGATTAATATTTGTCAGTAAGTGAAAGTGGCATCAATCTTACAGTTCCATAAGGGTTTGATTTTTTCATATGGATCATTTGTGTTTTTTCTCTTACGAACTGTGCTGGTTCTTTTACTGATTAAAAGAAATATTTGTCTGGTTCAAGTTGGTGTTTGCATTTTGAAAAGAAAGAAACATCTAATACTATTGGGGAAAGGGTCAACTCAAAGATGTACTTAAAACGACCAGTGGTCCCTTATCACATCATGTAAATCGTAAGAAGGTAAGGGCATGCCCTTGAAATGGCAGTATTATTATAAGCCACTTGAGCTCTACTGCATCCAGAGGGATGAAAAAATTGAATATGCTGCACCTTTCACCATGACCCTGCCAAATGGAGGAAGCATTGGGAATATTTGGTCACCCAAGTAAGAGCTATGTTGAAAATTATAAGTTATTTTCTATTTATAAGTAATAGTTAAAAGACATCAGTAGCTTGGAAAACAAAACGGCTTTGAGAAATGCAATATTCCTTAAGCAATGGAGACAGCCAGTGCTCCCAGAAAATCCAAACGCCTATGAATTTCAACTCTAAAGAGATGTATTGAATGGTCATAGAGCTACTGCTGTCAACACAAATTGTTTTATTTATCCTGATCAGTCTATTAGCTTATCAAACAAATCTGAACATACCATTAAGTTGAATGTGCAGTTGCAGGTTCAAAAGTTGTTCACTGTTGTCTGTTTAATCTGAGTCCAGTCTTTGAACTTAAGAAAAAACAAACTAGAAACACATGATGAAATTTTCTAATGCCTTATTTATTTTATCCTAGTCTGTTCTTTAAATGAAGAATACACATTTTTTTTCATTGGATCAAAGTATAAGATTTTAAAGGTTTGAAAAGCAGTCCTCCAAGTTTCATGCTGAGTTCAAAATAAAAATGTTTTCATGTTCAGGCCATTATATGTTGCCTGATTCATCTTGAAATCCCTTCCTTTGAATAAGACCAAGCAAAATCTGTTCAGTCTTTGTATAAACCAAAGCCGTTTCTTGGTCAATAATTCTTTTTTACCATTAAGATTGCCAATACAATACATTCTGAGTACATAACAATTTATATATCTATACATATTTGTTTGTTTTGTTTGTTTGTTTTTTTGAGGCGTAGTCTCGTGCTGTCACCCAGGCTGGAGTGCAGTGGCGCGATCTCCGCTCACTGCAACTCCGCCTCCCAGGTTCATGCCATTCTCCCACCTCAGCCTCCTGAGTAGCTGGGACTACAGACGCCTGACACCACACCCGGCTAATTTTGTTTTTGTATTTTTAGTAGAGACAGGGTTTCACCGTGTTAGCCAGGATGGTCTTGATCTCCTGACCTCGTGATCCGCCCACCTCGGCCTCCCAACACAATTTATATTTTTGAAGGTCCTTTTATGTGTATTGTGCCATATGCTTCTCACATCAGCCCCAATAAATGCTTTAGGCGTTTTATATTATCTACCACTATTACATGCTCTCCATCTCCAGACTACCCATTTCTGCCATTGCCCTCATAGGGGCCCATTCTGATAATTCTGGATATGTAGAAAAATAAATCCTGTTTATGTGTTTAAATAAATAGATGTATACTATAGACCTTTCTTTTTCTTACAATGCTTTTATTAAGGTGTATTTCTTCTGCAGTGTGCAGCTCTAGTAAGTTACCCTGTTGATTGTGTAGCACTTCCTAGCATGCAGCCACATTTGACATAGTATCTATTACTATAGCGAATGGTTGGCCCTAATTCTATTTCAGAATCTTTGGGCTGGTCACGGTGGCTCAAGCCTGTAATCCTAGCACTTTGGGAGGCTGAGGTGGGTGGATCATTTGAGGCCAGGAATTAATGACCAGCCTGGCCAACATGGCGAAAACCCATCTCTACTAAAAATACAAAAAAGTAGCCAGGCGTGGTGGTGCATGCCTGTAGTTCCAGCTGCTCGGGAGGCTGAGGCAGGAGGATTGCTTGAACCCAGGAGGCAGAGGTTGGAGTGAGCCAAGATTGCACCACTGCACTACACTCCAGCCTGGGTGTCAGAGTGAGACTCTGTCTCAAAAAAAAAAAAAAAGAATCTTTGTAAATTCTCTTACTGACTTTTCATAAGTTTCTCGGTGGGTATATAACAGAAGTTGGAGTGCTGAATCCCAGGCATATACTCACCCAGAACCATCAGGTTGCCCTCCAGAATGACTGCACCAGCCTACGATTCCACTACATACATGAGAAAACTGGATTTAGCCATACTTTCACCAGCACTGGCACCACCTAGCTTCTTCATCTGTGCTAGATGGAATGTTTTAAAAGTGAGACCTCATTTTGCATATCTTAGATTCCTAATAAAGTTGAATATCCATCCCCTCAACTAGTCATTAGTCATTAGGGTTTCTCTTTGTAAATTACCTATCAAACCTTTAAAATCTTGCAATTCGATCTAATGGGAAACAAGTATGTTTCTGTTTATTGCCTATTTCTCTGCTGGTCAAGGTCTTTTTATCGTTTGTTACAAGTTTCTTGTATTGTTTAAATATTAATCCCTTATCAGTTTGGACCCTGTTAATATCTCTTATCCACCTGATAACTTGCCAATGTTTCCCTCATTTTTACATAGAAAAATTCATCAATGTTTTTGCCGCATTGTTTTGGGGGTCTTCAAGAGACCATGAGGTCACACAATTTTTATTTATTAAACTTATGGTTTTATCTTTCACATTTAATGTTTTAAATTTGTATAAAAGGTCTGTAGGTATTTTTGTCCACATAATGAGCCAGTTTTATCAACACTCTATTAAAAAAGTCGTTTTACCTTAGTAGCTCATGATGTCAATATATTTCAGATTCATGCATATATGTGCCTGTTTTTGAACACTTTATCCCGTTCTGCTGATCTAGGATTGTTCCTGTACAATGACTTCTATGACTATATCTTTGTAGTATGTCTTCAGATGTGGTGAGGTGATGCCTCTCTGGGTTTATTTTTTGTTTTGCAAAATCGGACTAAGCTATTTTTGTGAATCATTTTTTTCCATATAAATGTTAAAATAAGTTTGATGGGTTCCTTAGAGGAAAAAGAGGGAAAAGTCTCATTGAAATTTAATTTGAATTGCGTTGAATATATTGGTTTGAGGAGAATTGACATCTTTACAATATCAGAAACATGATAATGCACCCTTTATTCAGATCTTCCATCATGTCCTTTAAAAGGTCCGTCAAGACCTTTAAAATTCCTTAAAGATCTTATGCATTGTTTAATATGAATGGTCTTATTGCTACTATAGCTTTACTGTTTTATGGTTTTATTGCTATGATGAACAGAATCTTCTCTTTCATTATTGTTTCTAGTTGGTTATTGCTATTATAAAGGAAATTAATTTACTAATTTTTAAATAAATTAATCTTATATTCAGCACACTTGTTGAAGTTTTTTACTAGCTCTGGTTCTGTGTTTCTTTAGGTTTTCTTTTCTTTTTCTTTCTTTTTTTGTAGAGACAGGGTCTCACTCTGTTGCCCAAGCTGGAGTGCAGTGGTGATCACAGCTCACTGCAGCCTCAAACTCCGGGTCTCAAGTGATCCTCCTGCCTCAGCATCTCACAGTGCTGGATTAGCAGGCGTGAGCCACCGCACCTGGCCTTCTTTAGGTTTTCTATGTAGAAGACCATCTCATCTGTAAATAAGGACAGTACCATGCTAGAGAGAGGCAGCCAAAGTAGACATGTTTATTTCTCGTCTTAATGAGAATGTGTTTTAGTTTGTGTTTCTCTGAAAGAAGAGATAAGACAAGCACTTTGGGTTCAAGTATTTCATAGTTTATTTGGGAGGTGATATTCAAAAACTGGAGTAGGGAACAAAGTAACACAAAAAAGGAGGAAATGCCAGGACGCCGGTGTGTTTCCTAAGCAGCAGGGCCTCAGCTCCTCCTCTGGGAACATGACAGAATGCCCCCGTCTGAAGAACTAAGGCTGGGTCATTTGCCCACTGGCCCCAATCCCTACTGGTTGAGGGGTGCTCCTGGGATGTTACCAGGCTACACCTGCACACAAGGTGAGCTTCTTTCAGCTTTGGAGAAAGCCCAGGAGCAGAAAGTGAAGAGATGTGTGGTGCAGGGGTGGGATGCTAAGATCTGAGCTCACATGAACTGTCCACCAGAGCTGCAACCAAAATCAGATAGGAGACAGCAATGAAAGTGTCTACTTCAGTCCACCCCTTGCACCATTCAGATCCACTCATGCACACCCTGGACTTTTTGAGGGAGAGGCCAGCTGTAATCTCTAGGTAACACAATATAGGAATGGAACTACCTAGTCCCCATTGTTGCCACTGGTCACACAGCTGTAGTAATAACTTCACCCTCTAATGTCCTTCCAGGAGCTCCCTCGCTGTCGGCTGGTACTTCAACTGTACTAAGCTGCTTGCCTGGTGCGCTGATCTGAACCTTCAATCTCGAGGGCTCAGAGCCCTTGGTTACCTTGCCCTTACAGAGCCGTGGAGCATGGAAACACTGAGTTATCTCTGTGAAATCTCTGCCCAATTATGTAGCAGTAACCCCAGCCTCTCAGGATGACAAACACATCTCCTTTCTCTGCCTGCTCTTCCACAGGTGTGGAAATCCCAGAGACCACGTGGCAGGCAGTATCAGACTCAGTGGAACCCTCACTGTACTTCCAGGTTGGACACGTCCTCCTACTTTTTAAGTCCAGGGCATCTAAACGGGCAGAGTCTAAAGCTGCAGAAACAGGAGTGTAAATTCTAAAGAGGGGTTAATGGGAATGATATTGAGAGAAGCGAATATTGCTTGATTGATGGACCTGTGTATTCTAACTGTTGGAAGCAGGCAGGAACTACTCGTTTAATGTAGGGATCTGCAAACTTTACACACAGGACCGATAATAACTATTTTAGGCTTTGTAGGTCATAATGGTCTTTGGTGCAACCACTTTGCCATCATAGGGCAAAAACAGCCACAAACACTACAAAGGTGAATGAGCATGGCCGTGTTCCAATAAAGCTGCATTTTCAAAAGCAGACAGTGGGCTAGATTTGGCTGGCAAGCCAGTTTGTTGAACTCTGGCTCAATCCATACAACACATGCTGGAGGATGGTGCCTCAGTTTCCACTGAGGGCATCACCCATGAACTGCCACTAGCATGATGCTTATGACCAGTCATGTCCTGTGGAATATAACAGTAATAGCTAAAAATGTATTGAGCAGGTCCTATGACCAGGTACTTCTAGGCACTTTACATGTAGCATCTTATGTAATTTCCATACCCCGATCGTGGTAGATACTATTAGAATCCCTATTTTGTGGGTAAGAACATTATAGATTACCCTCTCTAGTCCATCAGGGTTACAGACCTGGTAAGTAAAGGATGACAAGAGGAGGAGAACTGGGGAATCTTGCCTGGGCTTGACTTAGGACTTTTCAACTTTGCAATGGTATGAAAGCCACACGCATTCAGTAGTACCATACTTTGAGTACCATACCACCATTCTCTTTTTCACATTCAGTATTCAATGAATTAGAGATTAGCTGTAGAGATAAAAAGGCCCCATTTTTGCCTCACAGCTCTTACAACTCCTTAGCTTCCACTGACACCCACTGCACCCATTCTGGCTTATGCATAGGGCATTTTCCAAAGTAACCCACCTCAGGATTGGTCAAGATGCCCCTGATAATACTGCAGTATTTTCCAAATCTTATCAAGGAAATAATCTGTGTGACCTCTGGCCGGTTGCAGTCTAAATACAGGTTTCCCCATTTGGAAAATGAAAAAGATGAAACAGCTTGAGGTTTTCCAAACAGCACACCGCCAAGCCTCTCATCATTGAGCTGATGCTTCAGAATTTGGTGCCTGACAAAGGGAGCCAAGTGAGAGCCCGCATCCTCACTTTGATCAAAGCAGCACCACTTCCAAGTGTCATTTAGCAGAGGCCCATATACAAATGGTCTCCGAATTGCGAGGGCTTGACTTAGGGCTTTTTAACTTTGCAATGGTACAAAAGCCATGCACATTCAGTAGAACTAGACTTTGAGTATCATACCAACATTCTGTTTTTCACTTTCAGTATTCAATAGATTACAGAGATATTCAACACTTTAATATAAAATCGGCTTTGTGTTAGGGGATTTTGAACTGCAGGGTATGTCAGTGTCCTGAGCGCATTTTTAGGCTAGGCTAAGCTATCATATTCTGTAGGTTCGATGCATTAAGTGTATTTTTGACTTACAATATGGGTTTACCGGAAGGTAACGCCATCGTAAGTCGAGGACCATCTGTACGCTGTTCTATGGGGCTCAGGGGTGGAAGGATGACTCTGCAGCTAAAAAATGATCTGAAGATCAGGTGATGTTAATGGGCTCACTTAGTTCTACTTGTGCTTCTGATATTTAGGTGGATACAAAATACAACGCATGGCTTTGAACGCAACAGTTACCCAGTGATTGAATGAAGATCAAATTATAACAATGGAAGTTAGTGAGCCTTAACTTCTTATTGCAATCCTAAGTAGGTGCTATATTTCCCAAAGAATTACCTAGAATTTCCAGCTTACCTCTGACACAAGGGAGAAAAAAGGTAATACTTTCCTTCCTATTATAGGCATTCTAGATGACCACTGATTCTTATCAGGCAAGCTCTGGAAATTCCACCCTATGTAATCACAAAGAAATGTGCCAGCCTGGGCAACCAAGTGAGACCTTGTCTCTACAAAAAAATTAGCCAGGTGTGGTGGCGTGCACCTATAGTCCCAGCTACTCGGGAGGCTGAGGTGGGAGGATCACTGGAGCCTGGGAGATCGAAGCTGCAGTGAGCTGCGACTGAGCCACTGCACTAAAGAACAGAGTGAGACGCTGAAAAAAAGAAAGGAAGGAAGGAAGGGAGGGAAAGAAAGAAATTTGAAGGTTTATAGTTTAGAAAACAAGAGTTACTTTGATTTAGAGTATCATTTTGTTCATATTGCTAAGTGGAGGGAAAAAAGTAGTCTACAAGTCAACATGCAAGTCAACCATTTATTTAAAGTATGTATACAAACAGGCTGCAAGCCACATGGTAGCTATGTCTGGTGGGGTTCAAGGCCAGGATCTTTAGTCCACAGAAGATAAACACAAGCCCACAAGGGTGGGACACTGCTATCTCCTGCATTGTCTTGGTGAAGGTGAGCTGGAGCAACTATTCAGGTTAGCTTGACACACAAATCCCTATGGATGTCATAGACATTGTTGCGTTGGTCTTAAATCCCAATTCTGTGTTTACCAAGGAACCCTCTGATCTCAGTTTCACACCTGAGACAATAATGTAACAAGATAATGTCCACATTAACACTTTACTATTTTAATGAGCAATTTGGTGCTCTGGGTTACAGATCCTTGGTGGGATCACTGGTGTGAATTGATTACTCAGAGAATAGCCACGCTTTTGGATGCACTAAAAAGAAAAATTCCAGGCCAAGTGTGGTCTTAACACCTGTAATCCCAGCACTTTGGGAGGCTGAGGTGGGTGGATCACCTGAGGCCAGGAGTTTGAGACCAGCCTGGCCAACATGGTGTAACCTCGTCTTTACTAAAAATACAAAAATTAGCTAGGCGTGGTGGCACACACCTGTAGTCCCAGCTACTCAGGAGGCTGAGGCAGGGGAATCACCTGAACCTGGGAGGCTGAGGTTGCGGTAAGCCAAGATCGCACCACTGCACTCCAGCCTGAGACAGAGTGAGACTCCGTCTCAAAAACAAACAATTCCTGAACATGAAAAAAAAAAAAAAAAAAAAAAAGACAGTCTCCCCCACAAGCCCTGAGGCCAGAAGGTTCCATCTCAACTGATATCAGCCTCTCTTACCCCTCTTACCACACTAACTGCCACCACACAGGACTGAGTGTACTCAGAACAACCTTGAAACTAATGCCAGATGCAGAAACCCACTTTTCGCCTTTTGTCAAAGCAGGGCAGAGAGGTAGGGGAGAGAATGAAGTATCAGGAAGCACTGTGTTTGTTCTATTAAGGAGAAACAGGATTTCAATATAATATCTTGAAAATTAAAATTACAACAAATTTCTTAGAACTTTGGTTTATCAGCATATTAGCATATTGACACAGTCTCACATGAAGCAGGAACAACTGTCTACAGGAGGTATCTCTGCAAATGATGGCCTCTGGGCCAGATCTGGTGTTCCTTGGCTGTGATGTACAGCCCCCCTGCTAAGTAGAGTTTTTACATTGCTGAGAAATGGTTTTTAACTTTTTTTATAAAGTTGTTTTTTAAAAGAGGCAAATAGCAAAAAAAAGACCCTGAGAGAGAAAGTATCAGGCCCTTCTCAGAAAGTTTGTCAACCCCTGGTTTACAGGAATAATGAACTCTCCTCCGTCCTGCCTCCACCAACCAAAACAAAGTCTTAAAAAAAAAAATACACAAGACCAACCAGAAGCACAGGTGGAAAGATGACTTTTTGAACAAAAGACTACCCTCCCCTCCTTGATCTTAGCAACTTTAGTCTGAATTTGCATGACAGAAAATTCAAATTTTTGTAATAAATCAAAATAAATAAATTATAGGGTTGCACTGAGAAATTTAGTGGACATTGAAAAAGTCAAATTGGCTGGCTGCTCTTCTTGAAGGTAGTTGAAAAAAAAACAATTTAATGTAAATATCCATGCATGCACAGAACTTTAAAGGTAGAAGAAACTCTCATTTTACAGATGCATAAAGGAATTTGGGGAATGTAAGGTTCTATGAAAACAAAGAACATGAAATGAAAAAAAAAGTATTAAGAATTACTTAGTCCTTTTGATATCCATGTGAGGTAGGGAGAGCAATATTCCCAGCATAAGCACAAAAATCATCAAGCCAGGACACTAAAAATAATTAAAGAGATGGATATAATTACATAACTTTGAAAACATGTATTTCTTGATTGCATATTTGCTTTATGTCTATATTGATAGACATAGAAGATGTATTTACTCAAACCTTATTTTTTAAATATCTTTCAGAATGCACCATAAGAAACTTGTTTGGATTATATTTTTGTGCATGCACAAAAAAAGGGCTGCAATATGAAGTATTTTTTTTTTTACTATGAATACCAGACAAAAGTTTTTAAAACACTGTAATGACCTGCAGGTGTTGTCAAGCCAATGACCTGTTATAATCCTACTGCTACATCCAAAAGAAAAGTTCTTTAGACACAGTACAGTGAGGTATCATAAAACAGTATATATTGCCACTAAAGAATGCAAAGCAATATAGATAGTATACATTTATAGTATAAACAGTATAAATAGCAACTTATATTCATTTAACTGAGATTTCTTTTATGTTAAACCACATTAATTCGTCTCCATTATAGATTAGTTCTGACATCCAGGAAAATAAAATCAAAAGAATATATATATATAAAAAACATAAAATGAGCACATAAAATTTACCATCTTAACCATTTTAAAATTAAGGAACTTTTTTAAAGTGTGGTTTATTTTCTTATAAAGTAGAAATTTACTTAAGGATATACATACCCATATATAAGATATAAATTATATATACATTATATATATAATTATATAGATAGAAATTATATATAGGATATAATATATAGAGAGGATATAAAAATACAGAGAATATATATAATATATAGGGTACATATAATATATATGGATATCTATATCCTTAAGTACATTTCTACTTTATAAGAAAATAAACCATACTTTAAAAAAAGTTCCTGGCCAGGCGCGCTGGCTCAGGCCTGTAATCCCAGCACTTTGGGAGGCCGAAGCGGGTGGATCACGAGGTCAGGAGATGGAGACCATCCTGACTAACACAGTGAAACCCTGTCTCTACTAAAAATACAAAAAAAAAAAAATTAGCCGGGCGTGGTAGCGGGAGCCTGTAGTCCCAGCCATTACAGGCTGAGGCAGGAGAATGGCATGAACCCGGGAGGCGGAGCTTGCAGTGAGCCGAGATCGCGCCACTGCACCACAGCCTGGGCGACAAAGCGAGACTCTATCTCAAAAAAAAAAAAAAAAAAAAAGTCCTTAATTTTAAAATGGTTAAGATGGTAAATTTTATGTTATCTGGTTCCTACCACAACAAAAGCATATAAAGGTAATTTTAATATAAAAAAAGAATACATAAAATAGGATATAATTAAATTCTCATTTATTTAAAAAGTTAATAATTGTGGCTGTTTTGTTTCTTTTGAAGTATATTTTGTGTAAAAAGTATAGATAGATATTTCTCTCTGTGTAATAAGGGAAGGGTATATATAGAGAACTGTAAGGGACAGGTATGTGAAAAGCAGGAATTATACCAAGAACAGGAAAAACTGATTAATCTTCCTGATCACATAACCAAGAAAAAAGATAATGTGTTCCAAGATGACGCATTAATCAAATGTCATCCAAAAAGAAAAAAGTTCAAAGATAAAAATATAATGCCATGTTCCCAAATTGATGTTGTGACAGAATGTCAGGGCACCCACTGACAAACTAAATGAATTCCAAGATGACCAGTGTCAGGGCGTCTATACACCATGATGCCCCAGCTCAGTTAACTCCTGTAAGTGCTGAAAAGTATTTACTTTTAAAAAAGAGGGCTAGATGAAATGTGGTCTCCTGAATTGAATCCTAGAACAATGAAAGAATATTAGTGGAAAAGTGGTGAAATCTGAATATTGTGTGCAGTTTAATTAACAGTGATTGTACCAATGTTAACTTGTTAGCTTTGACAAATGCATCTTGCTATATAAAATGTTAACATTAAGGGAAGCTGAGCAAAGAGTAGACAGGAACTTTCCTCACTATCTTTGCAACTTTTCTGTCAATCTAAAATTATTTCCAAATTAAAAGTTTATTAAAAAGTGGGGAGATAATTAAGTATCAACCTATGCACACAGAAACACAACACTTGGCTGTAGCAATGTTCTCATAACAGCAACAGAGGGAAATACATCAAGTGTCATTTCAAAAATAACCCAGGGGTAAGGAAGGAAGTAGTGACTGGGAGAATGGCTGAGTAGGCTTTTGTGTGCTACAATCTTCTATTTCTTGACCTGAATTGATGGTTGCACATGTGTGTTCATTTTAATTCACTGAACTATATTTTTTGGTACATTACCCTTCAACTAAAAAAATAAAATTAAAACATTTCCCTATTACTGATGAAGGTTAGAATGAAGAGAACATAAGGTATATAAGTAGGAAAGAAAACCTATGTAGGGACAGATGTTAATAGTTATTAAATCCTAAGTAAAATTTTCAGAACTTGGAAATTACCAAATCCAGGAGTGGTCAGATTCCTTTATGAAGGTAGATCTGGAGCTACTTAGGCCAGATTTTTGTATTTTAGCAAAGTTCCTCAGATGATTCTGACGCACACCTGGATTATAAACCACTAAACCACTGAACTACCCCAAGAAGGTTACGTGACCTCCCAGAGCTAGAATGTTCCAGAAATGGTGCAAGAATTCTATTACTGGACTCCTGGCCCTCTACTCTACCCACAGTTCCAAACCCTCAGCCAAGATTCCTGAGATATTATACCACTAGACAGGAATATCAGTAAGTTCTATTAACTTTAATGTGCTTATCAAAAAGATTTTTTTTCTATCACGGTGGCTTTTTTTACCCTATAAGACAGAATCTTTTTTCCAACATATTTTCAATTTTACATTTCCAGTATAGCATTAATACATTTGTCATTTATTAAATAATGGCAAACCATAGCATCATAAAGTATTAAGACTGAAGGGCTACTAACCTACCTATTCATTTTAAAGATGAGGAAACAAATGCCAGAGACAGTAATAACTTGTCAGGAGTTTCCAGAATTCAATTCTCCTTTTTTAGATTAATAAATTAGACCAGATTTCTTCCCCATGGTTACTGTCTGAGGAGATTAACTAATATGCGATACATGATGTCTTGGGTTCTTTCATGTTTAATTCAGTTTGTTGTGATTTCTAAAAATGTATCTCTTTAAAACAATTGCTGCTGTGCAACAGTGTGATGGCAAGGGAACAGAAAACAACAAAAAAACTTGATTGAATACTTCAATCAAAGTGCTTCTTTTTTATGTGAGGATAAATCATACTGAATTAAGGGGAAATTTAAGAATATTTTTTAAGAAATAACAATTTCAGGTAGGCAATTGTGAGGAAAATAACAATCATACAAGCCAAGGCCACGTGATTCTTCCACAAGCCCCAGGGTGAGAGATCGATGCCCTGCTTTACCAAATATTCTTCGCCAGTACATCTGAAATTAAACAGAAAAAGAATATAACTTCATTCCTAGCATCCGTCAAATGTTACTCAGTATATCCACTGTTCCTTAAAGGAGCCTAAAATTGAACCAAGCCTTTAATAATTACCCCTTCAGATATCATAGCTAACAGTCATTGTGTGTTTACAATTTTGCTAGACACTAACAAACAACATGGACCTAACTTAGTTAATTCCTAAAACAATCCAATGTGATAGACATTGTACACACTTAAAAGATGAGGGGACTAACGTTTAAGGAACTTGACCAGGTTTACAGAGTCATACTTTGAATCACCAAGTTTTTAGCCTACTCAAATTTATTGGTTTCCAAATCTGTAATGCTGCTCTCTCCAAAGGGCAGAAATATTTATCAAGTAATAGTTCCCTTATCCCTGATAAAGAAAATATCTGCTTAAACAGATGACACCTGTGACCCTTACTAAGATGATCAAAGCTCTTACAGTACTCTTTACGCTTACAAATAGCCATAAAAAACAACACAGGTTAAGAATTCCAAAACCAGGAAAAGAGGTGTGCATGGGTTTCCTGCCAAAGTCATGTTCTGTCAGCTCTTGCACCAAGACTGTGAGGAGCATCACAGATACTCAGGTACAAGACATTCCCAGCAGACTCAGCTATCAGGTTTAAGCCTTAAGTGGCAGCTAGAGTAGAGTAGGATGAACTCCTTGCCACAGGTTAGGAAATCATCTTGTACTAAAAAGACCTTGGACAGCCACAGTTACTGCCTGATACCATTTTTGTGCAACTCTTGGGAATTCAGCAATTCCAAAAACATACATAGCCTCTCTTTTACTATAAGAATAGCTTCCTCCTGGCCGGCTGCAGTGGCTCATGCCTGTAATCCCAGCACTTTGGGAGGCCAAGGCAGGTGGATCACGAGGTCAGGAGACGAGACCATCCTGGCTAACATGGTGAAACTCCATCTCTACTAAAAATACAAAAAATTAGCCAGGTGTGGTGGTGGGCACCTGTAATCCCAGCTACTCAGGAGGCTGAGGCAGGAGAATGGCGTCAACCCGGGAGGTGGAGCTTGCAGTGAGCGGACATCGTGCCACTGCACTCCAGCCTCGGTGACAGAGCGAGACTCCATTTCAAAAAAAAAAAAAAAAAAAAAGGAATATCTTCCTCCTTTGTCTACTGAGGATGAAGCCTCATCTTCCGTTACCATGAAGCCCATGGTGGTTCCTCCTTATCTGGTCCCATTTTTCCCATCCACTTCATCCTGACCACCCTGATCAAGCCAAAAGAGAGGGACAGAATAAAGAAAACCTCTCTGTACAGAGGATTTCCTGTGGACAATTCAAAAGAGTAATTTGTCCTGTTATTCAGAATTATTTATATTCTACTTGAACATTCAGGAGATTGAGGATAATATCAACATTCTCTTTTCTCTCATTAATTTATGTATCAAAATCAAACCATTAGCAATCATAGAAAAGGCACGTGTTACTAAATTCTTAAAACAATATTATCCAGTGTTATTAGAATCTGTTTTAACATTATGTGAAAACGGGGTTTTTTTCTCAACTTATTCAAGTGTTTCTTGTTTTTTTAGAGGATAAATCGATTGATAGGGAGTATTCCAAGTTAATTTAAAAACAACAACACATGACTATGCGGCCTTTGATTTCATGATGTCTTCCAAATGCATGAGGCAGTGGAAGTGCCAGGATCTTGGCAGGGAAATGTTTACTTTCTTTGTGCTATTGCTGCCTATTTCATTCTTACTACTGTCCGTGGGTTGGGCTCAGAAGTATCCGTGAGTTCAGGGACCCATAGATTTCATATAATCCATACAGTTCAGGAACCATAAGCCCTTGATAAAATATCAAAGCACCTCACTTCAATCTCAAATGCTCTGAAAACCAAGAATTCAAACCCACAATCAAAATATCAAAAGGATCTTTTAAAAGGCCCAAAACAATAAGAAACAAACGTAAGAAACATTGCTGCATGTTAAAGACAATTTTTACTGCAGCAGAATACTGAGGGGTTGTGCCACATGTTCACATGCATTCGCGCACAACTCACTTTATGGATGAGAAAACGTAGGCTCGGAAAAATTCAGTGCCCCTGGAAGGACTCATACAGATCTAAGCCCAGTAGCCTTTATACATCACACCATGGTAGTAACAAAACCCATTTTGACACTGAACAAAAACTTACGTTGCATAGTTACAAGGATTGTTTCCTGTTGCATTGAGTCCTGGGCAGAAGTTTTGTCCCAAAAATTCATTATGCTGCAAAGCCTATAACACAAGTGGGAGCAGGGCAAGGTAAACAGTTTTAAATTTCAAGAAGTTTCCAAAGAGTTATCACAATCATGCCCTCTGAGTTTAATCTTTATTGTTATTTCTAAAAACATATTCACAGTCTTTGTCTCACCAAACCAACTAATGTTATTTTCCCTGGCAATCAAGAAACCTAGGGTTGGGATTTTGGCTTCCAATACAAAAGAAGTAAAGTATTTTGCCAAAGCGGGAGACCTCTGGCTATACTACACCATAGCTCCTTCCTCCTTCTCTCCCCAATTTTGTAACTCCATAAACATTCTAATTAAAATGATACAGTGGTGCTCAATGAGTATTGTTAATTTACAGTGACAATCTTTCGTTCTTGTTTGTTTTCATTAGAACCAGTTGTAATTCTTGGATGTTAGAAGCTTGGTTATACTATATTAAGACACAGATAGTTTACTTTGGAGTTAATGAGCTTGCAAAAGCCAATATGACTATGCTTATTATATGGTCTTTGCTCTTCTAATTTTCCTTTCATTATAAACATATGTATTCTAGTGTCCCATCCTCTCATTTACTTCCTTATTGAACTGAAATGCAACAATGTGTTTTTCATCAATTAGCCAATCTTTCTCCTTTACTAGGAGGTATCTCCCCTAGCCCTTTAAAGGATGACTGAGGAAAATAGCAAATGACTCCCCAGCCTTGTGTTAACCAAGGCTAACAGGAAATTCTCATTCCTTGCTCCTAAAAGGGAGTTTCTGGATGGGAGACTTTCACAGCTCATGGTCAGGGAAATGAGATGAGGACACTTGATTTCCATTGTTCCTAGCTTGGGAATGCAGTCACAGTGACAGACAAGGAAGACATACCGTAAATCCATATCGTGGAATGCTGAAGTACTGAAGCCATGACAGCCAAGATGCAATGGTTGTGAGATTGACCAACAGACCTGAAAAAATCTACAAAAAGCAAATACTAAAAGTCAGGCCTGCTTGAGTAATTTCATGCAGAATTCTAGAGAATACCCTCTTCAAGTCCCTACCACTTTGTAAGTATTTCTTTTAAAACCAACTCTTTCTTGAAGTTCTCTCCACTTACTCAAGACACTCACTAAACTCTTCTCCTCTGCATGTGCACATCTCTATATAGCTGAAGTCATTTACGGTTTTAAAGGAAGAACAAAATATCTAATACATATTAGATATTCCATTTAATCGTAAGATCCTCAATTGTCAAGACTATGTACTCAACTTTATTTGTAACTGCAAATAATGGAAGGTCAAGAAGCACTGACTATTCTAATGACACAACCACTATGTGTGCTCACCAATACACCTGGCATTGGAAGAATCTATACCAGATAAATCCTGAGCGTCACATGCCCACTGCACCTCACATAAGATTTGTTATTTACAAAGGTTTGCAGTCTATATCCATATGACTTTAGCAAGGATATGAGGTTCTGAATGCAGGCTTAACATAACCCAAAGTCTAGAACTGATACAGAGTATAATGTAGTGAGAGGTAGAGCATAAGCAGGATCAGTGCTATCATTTAAAGCTGCCAAAAAGCAATAGCGCAATGGAGATGCCAGGAAGACCTGCTGAAGATTGACAAGAGAACTAATTGCCACCACAAGCATACTGGTATATGCATAACAATGATGATGTTGCTGGTATGACAATATATATTCAGACTTGACCTGACCAAGTGCTTAGCATATAACACAGCATCTCTGAGTAAAATACAGTTTTATGACTAGTTTTTAATGTTCTGTGTAGAAATCTTTAAATAATAATAAATCAAACAAAACATTTGTATTTGCTGGATGACAGTATGGGAAATATAAACAAGCCTATCACTTCCTCATTAATGTTTGCATTGGTAGTTTTCAAATCCAGAAATGGAAGAATTAAACTATGGCAAGAGTTTGTGCTAATTATTTTTATTTAAAGGCATCTACTCCTACTCTAGCAGACAGGACATGTTCCTGTCAAGTATGATGTTGAAGGGGAAAAAAATGTAACTGGTTTCATTCACCTGTTGATTCCTCTATGTGCAAAATTTAGGGGCATGTAAGATTAGGATTAAGTAACCATTAAAAAAAAAAAGATAAGCAGAAACATATTGAATGTCAGGAACGAAACCCAGAAAGGAGGTACTTAGTAGTGTGTGAACTCTGCAATTTTCCAATATTTTTAAAACACTCTTTTTCAAAATACGAGAGGGAACCAAAATAGACTACTCAAACCATACTCTGTTCTGCTTCTTATGAGGCTTAATATGTGTCTTGGAAAACAGTATTATAAATCCAACCAAACTATCTCTGCTGGTGGGTAAACAAGCTAGCAGTTCAATGCTGTATGTGGGAACTTTAAAACATAAATTAAAAATGTTAAAAAAAAAATAAACTAGCAGTTCTCTAATGCCAGCATGAAAGTCGGGCAAATAATCTGTAATTCTCAAGAGAATCTGCCGATCAAATGTCTTCTGATTTTTGAAATTCCAATTTATTAAGGTTTCATAATAGGTCACAAAGAAACGCCTTTTAAAAGCTCATTAGTAACAATATTAACTAAAATTATTGGAACTTCATTAGAACAGTAGCAAAAAAGGTTGGATAAGGGCAAAGAGGAAAGTTAGTATATTCTCTAACATAATCTATTCCAGTAGATGGCCTTAAGTAAAGCAGAGCCCCATTTACAGAATCCTCAAAACAGGTTTTACATGACAAGTGAATGTGCAGGAAGAAATGAAGGAAAAAAACAATTCCTTATCAGAGCAAACACAGTTCAGACTCACCATCATAAACACAAAACAGATGGTCATGAGAAGTGTTGCTACAGAAACCACACTCTGACCTGCTGCTATGGCCAGTGCCATGGAACTGGCTGAATAAGCCACCATCATAAGGGTAAACATCATAACGAAGAAGGCATCTGCCTTTGGCTTCAATCCTTAGTCAGAAAGAGAAGAAGTAGTTAACCCAACTGCCTAGGTCACCGTATGTTTGGGATTGCTTATTGTGCAAATTTAACACTAATATTTTGAGAAACTAATATTAGAATGAAAAAAAGTCATCCACTCTCCAACCACCCTCGGTCTCCAATGTTGTGTCTGTCCATGTAACTGCATAAAGTTCTCTTATAACACTTATGTGCCATTATGTATAATTACAGACAATTTCTGAGTTCCTGAGATGAAGAGCTACAGGCAGTACAACTAACCAAAATTCAACTGCCTTCTCTTTTCACAGGAAACTCATCAATAGCACATTCATTTGCCCATACATCCTCACATTACTCATTGTGTGCTGTAACTTTGTGAGTGAAGGGACTGGGACGATCGGGATGCCATGACCTCACAGTGGTTGTAGTATCTGGGGGAGGGGGAGGGGGCCTCCATAACCCAAGCCTCCCCAGACAGATCACCACATCACTCTGGATTGAAATGAGACTAAATTACGTTTCATAAACTGCTTTCTAAACTGTAGTGAGCTAATACTACAGGTAATACAATCTGAAGATTTGAAACAGCCACAAGAACAACAATCAGGAGTCTGGAGATCTAGATCCTAACCCTGATTGTTTAGGACACACCTATTATTTGTCAAATGGAAGGTTTAAACTCAATCGGTAGTTCTTATCTTGTAGTGTCAAAATAGATATTTCCGGGGGTTTTGTGTGTGTGCATGTGTTTATCAGTGAAATATATGGAAATCAGATGCAAGGAGCCTGGAGTGAAGCCTGAGCATAATGCACAAATGAGTCTCCACATCTACCAAACAAGTATTTTTTTTTTAATTAACAAGCCCCAAAAGGCACCGTCTTTCTCTCATTAAAGAAGCAGGGATGGGTAATATATATTAAATAAATACATATATATATATTTAATCATTTTATGTATCTCTAAGAGATTAAATATATTTAATCATTCTATATATCTCTAAGTGTGTGTGTGTATATATATATACATATATAGAGAGAGACAGGGAGAGATAGATAGATAGATAGATAGATAGATAGATAGATAGATAGACAGATAGAAAACATAGATAGGCTATAAATATCCCAGCTTCTCCAGCATAGTCTCAAAGTTTTATAAATTCTTTCCATGTTTGTGTATAACACAAGCATCTCTCAGTAAAGTGTAGTTTTATAAGTGGTTTTAAAAGTTCAGGCTGGGCACATCCGCTCATTCCTATAATCCCAGCACTTTGGGAGGCTGAGGTAGGAGGACTACTTGAGGCCAGGAGTATAAGACCAGCATGGGCAACACAGTGAGACCCAATCTTTACCAAAAACTCCATCTTTCTGTGTGCCGGTAGTCCTAGCTACCCAGAGGCTGAGGTAGGAGGATCACTGGAGCCCAGGAGGTTGAGGCTGCAGTGAGATATGATCACCACTGCACTCCAGCCTGGGTGACAGAGCAAGACCCTGTCTCAAAAAAGCGAAACAAAGCAAACAAACAAAAAAGTTCAGTTGGGAAACAGTCTTGACAAAAATAGCTGACAGTGAACAACTGTTTCAGAGAGTGCAAAATGGACAGGTGTTTCCTTATCTCATGGTTTGGTTTATAGTTTTGAGAACCAAAAATATGCTTGCAAGGTGCAACTGACTTCACCCATAGGCAAGACTAAAGACATGTCCTTTTTTGTTTTGTTACATACTTACCTAACATGAAGTACACTATACAGGTAAATATAATACTTGGTAACATCCTCATGGGTAATAAATCAGATAACAGTTTTCCAAGGAAATAAGATGACACTCTGTAGTATCCGCTGATGTATTCATGTCTATAGAACAAAAATACGTATCATACATCCAAGATTAGTTTAAGAAGCCACAGGGCAGGCTAGACTTGTCTGTTACAGACCTCTGCTGACAGCAGGGGTTGAACAAGCCAGCTTCCCACATCCTCAGGGCTAGACCCACTATGCATGCCCATGAATACCTTGGGTGCCAGCCTCCCTGAGAAAGCATCCCATGAAGCTCTGCGCACAGCCCCTCTTCTCATGACACTGTTCCCTCCTATTGCTGCTCTTTCTAGCTCCTGAACACTCAGTCCAGGGAAACAGATTCCACACATCCTCCCTCTCTTCAAAGAATGCTTCTTTTCCTTCTTTGACGGGGGCTTTCCTTGAAGAACAGCACTTCAGTAGCCGATTTTGGCAGGAATAGAAGCTTTTCTTTTTCCCTATTTCTGATGAGGAAGGTGGCCTGTTATTCTCCAAGCCCCCTAGTGCAGCTTCAGATGACTAAGCTCTTCTTACTTCTTCTACTCCCAAGTTAAAAAAAGAAAAAGACTTCTTCTTTCAATGATCATGTCTTCCAGCCATACATCCCTGTCAACTACCAAATTGTAATCTTTCCTCTTCCTGACATCTTTCTCCCACAATTCCAAACTCTTCCACTTCCTTCATTATTTCCCTTTCTAATAATTCCTATATGTGACATGTACATTTGGGAAAATGTGATCCATCCTTGAAAAATACCCAGCCTGGGAAACATAGTGAGACCTTCTCTCTACAAAAAAATTAAAAAAAAAAAAAAAAACAGCCAGGCGCCCCGGTGCAGTGGCTCACGCCTGTAATCCCAGTGCTTTGGGCGGCCAAAGGGGGTGGATCACCTGAGGTCAGGAGTTTGAGACCAGCCTGGCCAACATGGCGAAACCCCATCTCTACTAAAAATACCAAAAAAATTAGCTGGGTGTG
The DNA here is from genome assembly GCF_000001405.40 of Homo sapiens. Taxonomy (NCBI): domain Eukaryota; kingdom Metazoa; phylum Chordata; class Mammalia; order Primates; family Hominidae; genus Homo; species Homo sapiens. The sequence goes on from NC_000004.12 coordinate 88,100,367, forward strand.
GTGGCGGGCACCTGTAATCCCAGCTACTTGGGAGGCTGAGGGAGGAGAATCGCTTGAACCCGGGAGGTAGAGATTGCAGTGAGCCAAGATTGCACCATTGCACTCCAGCCTGGGAGACAGAGCGAGCGAGACTCTATGTCAAAAAAAAAAAAAAAAGCTAGGCATGCCAGTTACTCAGGAGGCCGAGATGGGAGGACTGCGTAAGCCCCGCAGGTCAAGGCAGCAATGAGCCATGATCATGTCTCTGGACTCCAGCCTGGGCGACAAAGCAAGACCCTGTCTCCAAAAAATAAATAAATAAATAAATAGGAAAATACAATAAATTAAACCAGGCTGCTCTTTACTGTAAGAATGCCTTCCGGCTCGTGCCACTTCCCTGGTCCACCGAGGGCTAAGCATGGTCACGTTCTTTGTCGACTTAATCTCCCCACTTCCAAGTTGCTGCTTAATCTCTACCAAGCCCCTCAAACTTTTCTTGTGAAGGTCATCAGTATTTACTAAAAACAAAATATACTTTTCAGTCCCTTTATTGCTTGCTCTCTCCAACATTTGGATTTTCTGACTGTACTCAAATCTAGAAAAACTCTTTTCTCTGGATATCAGGTCCCAAAGGCTCAGGATTTTCTTCCCTACCTCTGGCTGCTTTTTCTCAATGAATATTGGTAACCCCTATACATATTTTCAAAACATCATGTTGTATATGATCAATATATACAATTTTTATTCATCAATTTAAAAATAAATTTTAAAAAGTACTGGTAATCCTCCGGATCCCATCCTTGGCCCCAACCCCAGATGTAATCAGTCTAACCAATAGCCCCTGCTGCTGGACAGCCCCGTTCCCAGAACAAAGACCTACTCACATGAAGAGCTTCTTCTCTACCACAAAGAGTTCCACGGCTGAAACACTGCTGAAACACTGGTTGGTCGTCAGGAAGAAGAGAACCCCAGCTCTGCCATGAAAAGGGGAACCAAATCACCGCAGTCAACTCAGCATTCTTAGACAGATTTTCTACCCACAAAACTCTTTCCACAAATGACAGTGTATAAAGTTAAGCAGGAAAAAAAGGGAAACTGTTCTGGTTGGAACAGGGAAGCGTGAACCCCATCAAGCCTCTCCCCATCTCTTATGTCTCCACAGTGGTACTCATTTTGAAACTCACAGTCTTGGATTGTTGTGGAATGAATTGCGTCTCCCCCCACCAAAATTCATATGTTGAAGCCCCAACCCCCAATGTGATGGTATTTGAAGATGGGCCCTTTGGAAGGTAATTAGGTTCAGATGAGGTTACAGGATAGGGAGGTGGGGAGAGTGTAATGGGAAGAGCGTCCTAATAGGAAGAGACACCAGAGCTCTTGCTCTGCCACACAAGGAACAGCAAGGAGGCAAGTCTGCAAGCCAGGTAGAGGGCCCTCACCAGAACCCAGCAATGCTGGCATCCTGATCTCAGACTTTCAGACTAGAACTGAGAGAAAATACATTTCTGTTGTTTAAGCCACTTGCTCTATGGTATTTTGGTATGGCAGCCAGGCCAATACATAATTTTAACTAACAAAAATGCCAAGTACCATTCCTAATGTACAAACAGAAAAGTGGTAAGCTAAATAAAGTCTGTAAAGATTAAGAAATTCAATTAGCCACTTTGATTTTAAAGTTGAACAAAGAATGTAAGTCATGTGGAAGCAAAATGAAAGACAGTGAAGGGAACCTTCAATCAACCCCTTATTATATGCATAATCTACATGCACCACACTACCATCAGCAGGGCCGTGACATTATCCTTGACCACGCTAAGACAGCCAGCCCTCTATGAGGTTTCCAGAGTGCTCAGAGGAAACCAAGTGACACTTACTGATAAAGAAAAATCTAATTTGTGTATCGTAATGAAAAGGAACACTATTAGTGCTTGTTTCTCAGTGAAGTAACTAGATTTAAAAAGGAAAATGTTGGCCGGGTGCAGTGGCTCATGCCTGTAATCTCGGCACTATGGGAGGCCGGGTCGGGAGGATCATGAGGTCAGGAGTTCAAGACCAGCCTAACCAACATGGTGAAACCCTGTCTCTACTAAAAATACAAAAATTAGCTGGGCGTGGTGGCAGGTGCCTGTAGTCCCAGCTACTCAGGAGGCTGAGGCAGGAGAATCGCTTGAACCTGGGACGTGGAGGTTGCAGTGAGCTGAGATCGCGCCACTGCACTCCAGCCTGGGTGACAGAGCGAGACACTGTCTCAAAAAAAAAAAAATTAAAAAATAAATAAATAAAAAGGAAAATGCTAAGTTAATCTACACTTTGATACAAATATGCATTTTATGAAAGCATGCCAACATCCCTGAAACACCATAACAAAACAATATAATTGACAGTAAGGGTGTGAGTTGAAACTGAAAAAGAGGTAAGTGACACATCATTTAAATGGCGTAAAAACAAGAGAACATTTTAAAAAATGCAAACCCAAGTGAACAACACAATTACATTAAAAGAAAAAAAAGAGTCCATAGATACCTAAAGAACAAAGATCTAAGGGAACAGGCTAGGGTCTTTTTTGTTTTATTTTATTTTTAGAGACAGAGCTGCCCTCGGTCACCCAGGCTAGAGTATAGTGGCATGATCATAAACTCACTGCAACTGAGTTGAACTCCTGGCCTCAAGCAATCCTCCCAGCTTGGCCTCCCAAAGTGCTGCAGTTACAAATGTAAGCCACGGTGCCCAGCCAGAGCAGTTTTAAAAGTATGTACATATAATTAAAATGAGTGAAAAATAGCCAGGCCTGGTAGACATGCAGTTATCTCACTTTCTGTACACAAATAAACCTAATATCAAGTAAAAAGCTAATTTCAGAACATGGAACATAGCAAAGATTCAATTCAATTTGTTGTCTTAAATCTATCAGTACAGTAATGTCCATAATGATTCTGAAAAAGTAGACAATGGAAACGTTCCTTCTAAATACTAAGATGATTTATTTTAAACACAGTTTTTTCTTATTAAGGAAGTTAATTCATTCTAATTCTTTCAAGGTGGTAATCCACATCTGTTATATCTACTTATTGGTCTGAATATTTTTTATTTTGATTTTTTAAATTATAAATTGGCATATTATGGTTGTATATATTTGTGGGGTACCAAGTTATATAATTCATGAATCATAAGTGTGAAATAATTAAATCAAGCTAATTAACACATCCATCGTCTCAAACATTTATTTTTTGTGGTAAAAGTATCTTAAATTTTAGCAATTCTGAAATTTACATTATTATTTACTGTGTTCACCACATTGTGCAATGTATCTCCAAAGAAAAATCCTTATTCCTCCTGTGTAACTGAGGTTTTGTACCCTTTGACCATCATCTCTCCATTCCCCACACACCTCTAGCCTCTGGCAACCACCATTCTACTGTCTCTTTCAGTTCCATTGTTTCAGATTCCACATTAAGTGAGATTATGTGACATTTCTGTGCTTAGCTTTCTGCGTTTGGCTTATTTCACTTGGCATAATATTCTCCAATTACATCCATGTTGTTGCAAATGACAAAATTTCTTTTGTTTTTCCACTGTGTATATATACCACATTTTCTTTATCAAATCAGACCCTTCGGGTGATTCCGTATCTTGGCTATTGTGAACAATGCTGCAATAAATATGAGGGTGCAGAAATTTCTTCAATAAACTGATTTCACATCTTTGGGGTAAATATCTAGAAGTGAGATGACTGGATCTGAATACTGTTTTTAAAGTATACCTTTTCCCTTAATACACACTAATTTGTTTAGCTATCACCACAACTCTGTAAAGCAGTTATTCCAGAGGTAGCTATTAATTCAAAGATGCTTATACTCTACATATGATTAAAACCCAGTTTCTCAGTTACACGGGTTAGAGAAAGAGCAGAGAGTGCTTTCCTCTCTCAGAGAATTCATCCCCAAAGAAGAGAACTAAACCACTGGCCTCGAGCAGTTTTAAATTATGAAGTACTAATATTCACCCCTGAACAAAACTTTGAGAACCTGTTTCCAGAGATGATGCTGAAACATTTTTTCCTCATCAATAAATCACTAATCATCCCAGGAGGGATTAAATCATATACACAGGCCACTTTAACATAGTCCAAATGCTTATTTAAAAAATGATACTGGGGTCAACGAGAAGCAGTGGGAGGAAGAACATCAGGAAAAATAGCTAATGCATACTGGGCTTAACACCAAAGTGATGGATTGATAGGTGTAGCAAACCACCATGGCACACGTTTAACTATGTAGCAAACCTGCACATCCTGCACATGTACCCTAGAGCTTTGGGGGAAAAAAAAAAGATAGCAAGCTTAAGTCACAAATACAAATTATGAGCCCAGGAGTTCAAAGCTGCAGTGAGCTATGACTGCACTACTGCACACCAGCCTGGGCAATATTGTGAGATTCTGTTTCAAAAACAAACAAATTAAAATAAGATTAATGCCCTATTTCTCCAGAAAACATCTGAAGAAACACCTAAAGTTCTTCTTTATTTCTCTGGATTTTTCTACCAAGAGCTTTAATGGCCAGATTTCCAGTCCTCTTCAAAGTTCCAGTTGAGGACCAGGTTACTCCATGTCCTCTCCAAATGCTTCCTGCTGCACAATATAAAAGGCCCACTGCCTTTAGATCCTGTGATATATTCTGTGCTGGGTTAAGACATGGCATCTACACAGCACACAAACCATCAATTACTAGCAAGTCTGGAAATAATCCAGATACCTCAGCCCTCAGGGAAAGTAAAAACAACAATGACATCACTCTGGTAAACTGCTGTTTAATAACACTCTCATCGTAGAGTAACACTATCTGATTCCATACAAAAGAATTTATTTTACTTGAGTGAGGAACCAACTTTTATGCTTATTCTTTAAAAAATAATCAGCCTTTCCAGACATCAAAATAGGCTGCACATAAGCGTCTTCAACTTTCCTCAATAGTAAAATGGGGATACTACCATCTACCCCCTCTAAATCACTGGGTGGTAACCTGAGACTATGGACAGCAAGCACTACGGAGCACAGTATCTGCCACAAGTGTTCTCCATACATGAAATAACCAGAACTCTGAGGGCTGTGAAATTCCTGAGTGCTTATGTTCAGAACACAATACAGTCGATAAAAAGTCCCCTCATAAAATGAGGTTTTTAAGGGTCCACTGTGACTGAAACTAGGTAAGGATCACAACACTAACAAAAGTGCTAACCATATAACAGGAAAAGCTGAGTCCCACCCCCATCACACCCCTAAGTCAAACATATATATTTAAAAAGTGACAGAAATTAGCTCACAGGCAACAAAAGAAGAAATTGATCAATTGGACTACATCAAAGTTAAAAATGTTTATGCATCAAAGGACACTATCAATACTGAAAAGACAACCCACAGAGTGGGGAAAAATATTTGCAAATTATGTATCTGATAAGGGATTAATATCTCCTCAAAAATATAAAGCACTCCTACAACTCAACAACAAAAAAACAAACAATTCAATTTTAAAATGGGCAAAGGACTTGAATAGACATTTCTCCAAAGATCCAATGGATCTCTACTATTTAAAAGGGAGAAAAAGAAAAGTGTTGGTAAGGATATGGAGAAACTGGAACCCTTGTGCACTGCTGGTAAGAATGTAAAATGGTACGGCCACTGTGGAAGACGGTATAGTAGTTCCTCAAAAAAATTAACAGAATTACTATATGACCCAGAAATTCTAATTCTGGGTATATATCCGAAGAATTGAAAGCAGGAACTAAAATAGGGTTTTTTTTGTTTGTTTTTTTAAGAGACAGGGTCGAACTCTGTCACCCAGGCTGGACTGCAGTAGTGCAATCATAGCTCACTGCAACCTAGAACTCCTGGGCTCAAGCAATCCTCCCACCTCAGCCTCCCGAGTAGCTGGGACTACAGACACATGCCACCACACCTGGCTGAAAGAGATATTTGTACACCTAGGGAGCACTGTTTACAACAGCCAAAAGGTGAAAGCAACCCAAGTTTCCATCTATAGATGAATGGAAAAACGAAATGTGGTATGTACATACAATGGAATATTATTCAACCTTACAACGGAAAGAAATCTGACACATGCTACATGAATGAGCCATAAAGACAACATGCTAAAGGAAATGAGTCAGTTACCAAAGAATATCTACTGTATGATTCCACTTATATGAGGGTCTTAGAGTAGTCAAGTTCAGAGACAGAAAGTAGAATGATTGCTGCCAGGGGTTAGGAGAGGCAGATATGAGATGGGAAGTTATTGCTTAATGGGTACAGATATTCCACTTGAGAAGACAAAAAGAATTCTAGAGTTGGATGGTGGTGATAGTTGCATAACAATGTAAATGTACTTAATGCCACTGAACTGTACATTTAAAAATAATTGGGCCAGGTGGAGTGGCTCACGCCTGTAATCCCAGCACTTTGGGAGGCCAAGGTGGGTGGACCCACCTGAGGTCAGGAGTTCGAAGCCAGTCTAGCCAACATGGTGCGACCCCGTCTCTACTAAAAATACAAAAATTAGCTGGGCGTGGTGGTGGATGTCTGTAGTCGAGGCTACTTGGGAAGCTGAGGCAGGAGAATTGCTTGAACCCGGGAGGCGGAGATTGCAGTGAGCTGAGATCGCGTCACTGCACTCCAGCCTGGGCAACAGAGCATGACTCTGTCTCAAAAATAAACTGACTCATCCTACCCTCAATAAAAGAATGACATTTACACTATACTTGTCTTAAATTCAAATTCTTAATGGATTTCAATAAGCTTGAAGAAAGTAACAGCATTTTCTGAAAATCAAGATCCAAATTTACTTACCTGTTCTGGATTCCAGTAGAATCATTTTTTAGCCCAAAGTAAATGGCACCTATAACCAGTCCCAGTACGACTGTGACAATGATCTTTTCAAAAAGAAAAATGCAAAAAAAGGGGAAGAGTTTCAATTAGAGATAAAAACTTATACACACCATTTATTAGTATAATATATGGTTACATAATCAGATCTCTCCATTAAGATAAACACTCAATGGCTTGGCCAACGTCCCTGGGAGAAAATAAAACAGCATACATTATTTAGACTGCTTCCTAAGTTAAAAATTAAGTTATCTGTGCTTTGGGGAGAGTGGTAGGACACAAAGCACACTGCTGGAAAAGCTGGACTTCCTCCCATTGCACCACCCAGCAGTCAGTTCAGGGTCTGCTTCAGGTTACTGAGCTTGTGAATACCACACAGGATAGCAGAGCAATGCAAGTATGTAGCAAAGCAAAGTCCAAGTGCCTAAGAGTTTTGACCCTGAACTGAACTCTCAACCTTTGTGCCAATGAACATGAGTCATTTTATATTTCAAGAGGTTAAAGTGAAAACAGGATATCTTTATTCTTAACATTAAAAATAAATAAAAATTTTAAAGCACACATTAAAAAAATTCTAACAATGGAATTTTGCACAGTGAGGAAATAGGGGTGAGATGGAGCCTGCCTATCCAACCTCTAGGGAGTCCATGCCTGCACTGGAAAAGTGCATTGTCACTGTCACCAAAGCATTTGGCCGGCTTTCTCTGTGCACACACTGCATGCTTCCACTACCCATCTCCTGTCACTGCTTCCTCATCGCTTCAGCCAGTGAGGCCTATAGCCAATGCTGCAGACCTAAGCTGCCAATTCTTTGCTGTTCTCACCTATCTTCACCACTCAATTGATTTCTATAGCTCCTAAGGAGACTGGACAAACACCAATCTTGTTTCTAGGATAAAGGGTCTCTTAAGGACACTTCAATAAGCAAAGGGTTAATTTAAGGGTTACGTTATGATATAATTTATCTGAGAAAATCCTATTTATATTTACTCGTGAGTTAAATATTAAAAAACAAGAAATGGGCTGGGCGTGGTGGCTCATGCCTGTAATATCAGCAATTTGGGAGGCCGAGGGGGCAGATTGCCTGAACTCAGGAGTTTGAGACCAGCCTGGGCAACATGGTGAGACTCCGTCTCTACTAAAAAAAAACACACACAAAAAAATTAGCCAGGCATGGTGGTGTACGCCTGTAGTCCCAGCTACTCGGGAGGCTGAGGCACAAGAATCACTTGAACCCTAGAGGTGGAGGTTGCAGCGAGCCAAGATCATACCACTGCACTCCAGCCTGGGCGACAGAGCGATACTGTCTCAAAAAATAAATTGATAAATAAATAAGAATAAAAAAATAAGAAATGGTAATCTAAAGAAGACAAAATATCCTACCATATCTTGGAATCTTCAAAGTTAAAAAAACAAAATCTCAATACTGCAACAGTCTAATGGTATCAAGATTTAAAGTAACTGATCAAGGACACTTTTGGCATGAAGCAAACCGAACTGCAAAAACAGTACCATCATCTGTGATAACTAGTTTGTGAAGAACCTAGTCTGGAAAGAACATTATTCCAATGTTTCTACTTATGAGCTGTCTTTTAAAATTCACTTAGAAATTTTGGGGGGAAATCCATTATGCTGGCATATTTTCATTACCCTCAGAATATACTTCAACAGACCAAGCTTCCAAAATAAATGCAGATGACTGTATCAACAGGCATGCATGAATGTGCATACAAGAGTCTACGTTTTCACACAGTAAAACTTTTAAGAATATTCAATTCAGGATTTTTTTTTTTTTTTTTGAGACAGTCTCGCACTGTTGCCCTGGCTGGAGTGCAATGGCGCGATCTCGGCTCACTGTAACCTCCAGCTCCCAGGTTCAAGCAACTCTCCTGCCTCAGCCTCCCAAGCAACTGGGATTACATGCGCCCACCACCAAGCCCAGCTAATTTTTTGTACTTTTAGTAGACACAGGGTTTCACTATGTTGGCCAGGCTGGTCTCGAACTCCTGACCTCATGATCTGCCCGCCTTGGCCTCCCAAAGCACTGGGATTACATGCATGAGCCACCATGCCCGGCCCAGACTTTTCAAACTAAACATTCCAAATGCTTTGTCAAGTTTTCATTCAAACTTGTTATCTTATACTAACACTGAGTATTATGATTAAGATGTTTCCTAAAAGTTTCAAAGTTCTAAAAATGTTTTCAAAGTCAGCTTTCAAACATATTGACAAAATAATCAATCCCGTAACCTTGGCATGCTTTTATAAGGTGTGTCTGTGTTATTCTTTCTGGCATTAAAGAAAGGAAAACAAACAGGCAAACTAAACAGTGCACAATGGAGTGCACAGACCCCATCTGCTTCCAAGTTGAGCTGTTCAGAAAACCCTTGGCACCTTAAATGAACATGCAATCTTCTCATACAGATAATCCATTCATTCTAAGATTTTCCAAATACAACCTTTGGAAGATGCATTATCAGAGGCCAAGTTTGAATCATGTAAAGAAATAACTAGTTCAAGCCAAAGTGCAGCTGTAAAGCAACAGATTCAAGATTTATCAGTAGAGAGTCATAAAACATTTTAACAACTCAATTTTCAAGAACTCAGAATTAAAACAACATACAAAATCATAAACCCTGAATCAGGAATCATTAAGCTATAGCCCACAGGTCAAATAGGGCCAGCCACCTATCTTTGTTCACCTATGAGCTAAGAATGGTTTTTTACTTTATTTTTTATTATTTTTTAGAGACAAAGTCTCACTCTGTCACTCAGGCTGGAGTGCAGTGGTGTAATCATAGTTCACTGCAGCCTCAAACTTCTGGTCTCAAGCAATCCTCCCACCTCAGCCTTTTGAGTAGTTAGGACTACAGACATGCACCACCACACTTAGCTCATTTTATTTATCATTGAATAAAAAGTCAAGAATAATAATATTTCTCACAATATAAAATTTATATAAAATTCAAATTTCAGTGCCAATGTATAATGTTTCATTGGAATAAAATGAAAGTTACCTTTTTTTTTAAGATAGGGTCTTGGCCAGGCACAGTGGCTCACATCTGTAATCCCAGCACTGTGGGGGACTGAAGCGGGTGGACCCACCTGAGGTCAGGAGTTCGAAGCCAGCCTGGCCAACATGGTGCGACCCTGTCTATACTAAAAATACAAAAATTAGCTGGGCATGGTGGCGGGCACCCGTAGTCCCAGCTACTCGGGAGGCTGAGGCAGGAGAATTGCTTGAACCCGGGAGGCGGAGGTTACAGTGAGCCGACACAGCACCACTGCACTCCAGCCTGGGCGACAGAGCATGACTCTGTCTCAGAAAAAAAAAGGGGGTCTTGCTTTATTGCCCAAGCTGTTCTCACACTCTTGGCCTCAAGCATCCTTCTGCCTTGGTCTCCCAAAGTGCTGGGGTTATAGGCAGGAACCACTGCATCTAGCCAGCCTTTCGTTTATTATTGGAATACTGCCATGTTCATTTATTCATGTTATGAGCTTGGCTGCTTTCACACTAAAACGGTAGAGCTGACTACCTGAGACAAACACCACCTGATCTGCAAAGCCTAAAATATTTACTACCTGATCCTTTACAAAAAAAAAAAATATATATTGCCTACTCCTGCCCTAAGCTAATATTCCAGTTTTTCACAAATCGAAACAAAACTTGTCCTGCTAAGCAGATGCTCAGGGAGATACAAGGTCCTATTCTTAATCTAAGAGACTGCCACTGCTCTGAACATGGCTGGAATTCCTTTTGTGAAAGTGAGTTCACTGATGAGGCAGGGAAGCTAAACCTAGAGGCACTAGGCCAGGTGTTAGCATTGGAAGGAAGCCCAGTATCAAAACATGCAGAATCTCAGTGTGTGAAAAACAGCTCTGTGTTCTAATTATGCCCTCTCCAGTATTGCCACATAGGCGATTTGGACAAGACATTTATAAACCATTTTTTGAAGCAAGATAATTCAAGTTATTTTCCAAGTAAGAAAAATCTAATGCATACATCACACTAAAAAAGCAATTCATTACATTATTTCACTGTTGACAATAAGTAACCCAGGTTGATCCTACCAGACTGATTTCCAAATGATATCAAATCTATGCTCAAAGAATAAAATTTTGCCTTTAATTGATAGTATATAAAAGTGCCAGTGTTCTGACAGAAACACCAAATTATACGTACCAAAAACATTTGGAGAAATTAGCAATATGGTTCAACTAGGGATACAAGCTCTTAGATAAATTTATATATATACTTAACTAGCAGTATGGCTATACATACATATATGTGGCTATACATATATACATATATATACATAATTAGCAGTATGGCTTAACTAGGGATACAAGCTCTTAGATATATTTTATATATACTTAAGTATAGAAATTATGATGCACAAGTTTAAACGTCAGTAATATTTTACTAGAGCCAACAATGTGCCATCTTTTAGTACTCAACAGAAACTCAATATTGTTAATAAAAATAACAGCCCCAAAATAACCAGCTAAATTGACTTCTTTGAAGAATGGACCAATGAACTGGGAGTACTAATGTTTTGGGTGACAGAGGGGTTAAGAATAACAGAAAAGGCCAGGCATGGTGGCTCACACCTGTGATCCCAGCACTTTGGGAGGCCAAGGCAGGAGGATCGCTTGAGCCCAGGAGATCCAGACCAGGACAACATAGTGAGACCCTGTTTCTACAAAAAATTAAAAAATCAGCCAGGTGTTGTGGTGCACGGCTGTAGTCACAGCTACTCGGGAGGCTGAAGTGTGAGGATCGCTTGAGCCAAGAGTTTGGGGTTGCAGTGAGCTATGATTGCACCACTGCACTCCAGTATGAGTGACAGAGTGAGACCCAGTCTCTAAAAAAAAAAAAATGTGTAAAGAAAAGAATAACAAAAACCACAAGGAGTAATAATCACCAACTATCACAGAGCCAACCAAGGAACAAAGAAACATTATCTCATTTTGATTAACAGAAAGTTAATCTAACAATGAATAGCCTTGTTCTGTGAACTCAAATTTGCTTACTACATTTGTTTCACCTGTAAACTGTCTAAGGAAGGTAAATGACAAGGAACAGCACTTTGCACACAGGCTCTTCCCTTGGAGTGGCCAGCACATACTCCCTTTCAGGTGTATTCAGTGACAGTAGGTGAAGGTTTCCCTGATCACCTGATTCCAACTGCAAATCAACCTTCTTCTCCCTACTTCTCTCTCTTCCTCCCCTTTCTCCACCCCTTCTCTGCTTAAACTTTCCCCATAGTTTCTTCTACCATCTAACATGCTATCTATTTAATTTCTTTATTATTTATCATAACTGTCTTCCTCAAAAAATTAGCTCCATGAGCAGAGTTTTATTTTTGCCCATTTTGTTCACTACTGAATTCACATCCCTAAAGCACAGCACAGGCCCTATAAGAACAAGTTGAATGAATCAGTGAACAAAAGTGAACAGCTACCAGAAAACCCCAAAACTGGCTGACACTTCTTTCACAATTTCCCAAAAAAAAAATTTTTCTACTCAGATTATTCATTACAGCTTGTCTAAATCAACAAAAATTCTGAGTTAGGTAGTCTAAGAAACCACTAAAAAAAAGAACCTGGCCAGATGTGGTGGCTCACACCTGTAATCCTAGCACTCTGGGAGACTGAGGCAGGAGAATCGCTTGAACCCACGAGTTCAAGACCAGCCTGGGCAACACAGCGAAACCCCATCTCTACACAAAACACAAAAATTAGCTGGACGTGGTGGGACACGCCTGTAGTCTCAGCTATTCAAGAGGCTGAGGTGTGAGGATCACTTGAGCCCAGGGAGGTCAGGGCTGCAGTGAGCTGAGTTCATGCCACCACACTCCAGCCTGGGCAACAGAGTGAGACTCTGTCTCAAAAAAAGGGAAGCTTTCCAAAAGTAAAACTTAATTGTCCTTTATTTGTTCTGCTGACTGGTTCTATATCCCAGGTGGAGTGAAGATAACAAATAATTGGAAGGGTGGGTAGAAGATAAACATATCCTGAAGCAGATGATAACAGAACCACATTGTTCCCATTTGAGTATTTCAAAAGAATCTGCTGGTTACCTGAGCTATAGAGGCCTGGGGATTACCCAGCAAGTTTTTGAATGAACGCTTGGAAACCCATCTGAGTTGATGACAGAAGGAGGTGGTGTAGCTGATCTCCTTGAAGACTGTGATCTTCTTCTTCTTCTCACCCCCGGAAAGTTGATGTAATTCAGCTTTTGTCTCTTTGTAGAAGGAGGAGTTGACATAAATCTCCGCTAATTTTTCTATGAGTGGCTTATCCTGCTTGGAAGGCTCTATGATCTCTGTGGCTTTGCAATCAGTGGATAAAAAGGAAACACAAACAAGATAACAACAAATTTAGCCCATTTTTTCTGTGAACCCTTTCTTGGATGCTTCCCTAACACCTTCATTCTAAAGCTTTAGAAAGAAAAAATAGGCCAGGCACGGCGGCTCATGACTGTAATCTCAGCACTTTGGGAGGCTGAGGCGGGTGGATTACGAGGTCAGGAGTTCGAGACCAGCCTGACCAACATGGTGAAACCCTGTCTCTACTGAAAATACAAAAAAAATTAGCCTGGCGTGGTGGTGCGTGCCTGTAATCCCAGCCACTCAGGAGGCTGAGGCAAGAGAATCGCTTGAACCAGGGAGGTGGAGGTTGCAGTGAGCTGAGATCACACCACTGCACTCCAGCCTGTGCAAGAGAGCAAGACTCCATCTCAAAAAAGAAAAAATAGAAATAAAAAATTATTAGCTCTGTCATTAGAAAAGTATAACAGGCCAGGCACAGTGGCTCACTCCTGTAATCCCAGTATTTTGCAGGGCAGAGGCAGGAGGATCATGCGAGGCCAGGAATTCAAGACCAGCCTGAGCAACGAAACGAGACCCTGTCTCTATAAAAATAAATAAAGTAAGTAATAAATTAAAATGTATATTTAAAAAGAGAAAAAGAAAGAAAAAGAAAACTACAGAGAAATAGCCTGTCTATTGCCATAGTCTTATGAATATAGCAAACAAACTGACGTTTTCTATTTGACCTTAATTCTTTTAAAATAGACTTCTTACCATATAGTTCTAATTCTTAATATAAAATTCTGGTCGTGGCCAGGGGCGGTGGCTCACACCTGTAATCCCAACACTTTGGGAGGCCAAGGCGGGAGGATCACTTGAGGTCAGGAGTTTGAAACCAGCCTGGCCAACATGGTGAAACTCCATCTCTACTAAATATACGAAAATTAGCCGGGCCTGGTGGCACAGGCTTGTAATTCTAGTTGCTCAGTAAGCTGAGGCAGGAGAGTGGCTTGAACCTGGGAGGCGGAGGGGTCAGTGAGCCGAAATAGCACCATTGCACTCCAGCCTGGGTGACAAGAGCTAGATTCCTTCTCAAAAAAAAAAAAAAAAATCTGGTTGTTGCTTCCTACTATATGCAAATGCATATATTGCCAAGTTTCTTATTTTAAAAACACTATATAAACACTGAGCATTTTTTAAAATGTTAACTCCTCTTGGAACTGACAACACCATATAAATTCTCATTTATAAATTAATCAAAAACACCAACAGCACTCACAGACAACAAAATATTTGTGTTGACTGGTATCAGAAGACTGCATCAACAGAAATTCACAAAGCCACATTTTAATTAGCCACCACATTGCTAAACTTCAGCCAATTCAATTAGGCAAAAATCTGGGACTGTAACAGATTCATATACCTTTAAAGTCTTCTTCTCTGTTTAATGCCACAGCAGTGGAATCTCCATTAATGATGTCCAAGAAGAAGTCTGCAGGGTTATTATAGGCCTCACAGTGATAACCTATGAAAGAAGGCAGCTCAAAAACACAAACTTGATGGTCTTGGAAAACAAAGAGAACTCACTTTCAGAGGGTGAGGGAGGTAAGGCTAGAGAAGACAGAATCTAATGACTTTTCCTTAACTTTCTTTCTCTCTTCTTCCCACGTAATTTTACCCTTTCTTTTTATATATTCAGTCTCTCTCTCTCTCTCTCTCTCTCTATATATATATATATATATATATATATAATTTATTTATTTATTTTGAGACAGGGTCTCCCTCTGTCACCCAGGCTGGAATGTGGTGGGGCAATCTTGGTTCACTGAAACCTCTGCCTCCCGAGTTCAAGTGATTCTCCTGCCTCAGCCTCCCAAGTAGCTGGGATTAGAAGCACGCATGACCACGTCCAGCTAATTTTTGTATTTTCAGTAGAGACACAGCTTTGCCATGTCGGCCAGGCTGGTCTCGAACTCCTGGCCTCAAGTGATCCACCCGCCTCGGCCTCCCAAAGTGCTGGGATTACAGGCATGAGCTACTGTTCCCAGCCTATCACACAATATTTCGGCAATTCTTTGTCTCTGGGCCAAAAAAAAAAAAAAAAAGAAAGAAAAGAAAACACTCCAAGCCAACCTTGGATTTGCAGGGCATTTTGCATTAGTGCTTGGTCCTTACCTATCATAATTCATGAGACCTGAAATAGCTATCAGTATGCTCTGGTGCTTAACAGTACTTCCTCAAAAATCTAAATATAGACCCAAGAAAAAAATCCAAAAGCCCAGGTGTGTTCTGCTCTCTGAGTTCACCGACAGAATGCCAGAATGATAGAACCCACATTAGCAATGACTACTTCCCCACATACTAAATTCAGAGGTCCAGCGCTGGGTGCAATGGCTCACATCTGTAATACTAGCACTTCGGGAGGCCGAGACCAGCAAACCACTTGAGCCCAGGACTTCCAGACCAACCTAGCCAACATGGCAAAACCCCATCTCTACTAAAAACACAAAAATTAGCCAGGTGCATTGGCTTATGACTATAATCCCAGCTACTAAGGAGGCTGAGGCACAAGAATTGCTTGAACCTGGGAGGTGGAGGTTGCAGTGAGCTCTGAAAGCACCACTGCACTCTAGCCTGGGCGACAGAGTGAGACTCTGTCTCAAAGGTAAATTAATTAATTAATTAATTCAGAAATCCAAATCAACTGCTGTGCTGCTGTAATTCCAAATAGAGAACAAATCCCCTGAGCAGTATTCTCGATAGAACATGGCCAGCACAGCACACCTGAACCATTCAGCTTTGGATGATGAGATCATCTGAACTCAGCGTGGCCTGAAGTCTGACTCTTAGTTCATCCCCTTTATTAAAACCTAATTAAGAAACATGGCCAATGAATATCTAAAATTATATTTAGGATCATAGGGAATCATTTGTAATCATATCCAAATATATCTAAAATGATGCAGACCGCACAAGCCATTAAAAAAAATCACACATTTCTTTTTTTTTTTTTTTTTTTTTTTTTTTTTTTTTTTTTTGAGACGGAGTCTCGCTCTGTCACCCAGGCTGGAGTGCAGTGGCGCGATCTCGGCTCACTGCAAGCTCCGCCTCCCGGGTTCACGCCATTCACCTGCCTCAGCCTCCCGAGTAGCTGGGACTACAGGCGCCCGCCACCACGCCCGGCTAATTTTTTGTATTTTTAGTAGAGACGGGGTTTCACCGTGTTAGCCAGGATGGTCTCGATCTCCTGACCTCGTGATCCGCCCGCCTCGGCCTCCCAAAGTGCTGGGATTACAGGCGTGAGCCACCGCGCCCGGCCAAAAAATCACACATTTCTATCTAAAATTTTAAAAATCACACATTTCAATTTGAAATAAAAAGAACCATGCTGTCCAAGATTGTTAGAAATTTTGGCCCATCTAAGTCAGGTTTAGGACTAACCACTCTATTGACCGATACCCACTCAAGGGCTAAAGCTGCAATCTATAGTTACCAGAAAATTAAGTAGTGTCTGCCGGTCACAGTGGCTCACACCTGTAATCCCAACACTTTGGGAGGCCACAGCAGATTGCTTTAGCTCAGGAGTTTGAGACCATCCTGGGCAACATGGCAAGACCCCGACTCTACAAAAAATACAAAAATTAGATAGCCATGGTGGCATGTGTCTATAGTCCCAGCTGCTTGGGTGAGGTGGGAGGATGGCTTGAGCGCGGGGGGTTGAGGCTGCAGTGAGTCAAGATTGTGCCACTGCACTCCAGCCTGGGTGACACAGTGAGATCCTATCTCAAAAGAAAAAAAAAAAACCTTAAATAAAATTTGCTGGGTGCAGTGGCTCACACCTATAATCCCAGCACGTTGGGAGGCCGAGGTGGCAGATCACAAGGTCAGGAGATCAAGACCATCCTCCTGGCTAACAGGGTGAAACCCTGTCTCTACTAAAAAAATACAAAAAAATTAGCCGGGCATGGTTGTGGGCGCCTGCAGTCCCAGCTACTCAGGAGGCTGAGGCAGGAGAATGGTGTGAACCCGAGAGGCAGAGCTTGCAGTGAGCCAAGATCACGTCACTGCACTCCAGCCTGGGCAATAGAGCAAGACTCCATCTCAAAAATAAAAATAAACAAAATTAAGTAGCATTTCCATGAGTGCTCATCAAGGCAGACCAACATGTGCAAGGGGAAAAAATTTTAAGGCCTCATCTGTTATATGGTCAAGAAGACAATCATATTAGGCCTTCCCAAAAATGTTCAAGTGACAGAATAAATGGCTATAAGGCCAACATATTAATTACTGAGCTTTTAAGAAATGGTCACTGTAACTAGGAAGCAGAATATAGGCCCAGTAGAAATACACACATGCATGCACATTGAAATAAGACAAGAAAGATACCTAAATAACAAGCTGGTGCTACAAAAATGAAGAAAAATACTAGCACCAAATGGAACAAACACATTTTGAAGTGATAGATTCTCATGGTATGTCTACCCAAAGACCAAACAGCACTCCTGCAGACCCCCTTTGCTCTCCTTCAGGATTCTATTAATGAAGCATTTTACAGCATAAAAAAGTCAACCATACCAGCTGATTCAAAGTATCCCAAGGCCTCCTGAGCAGGCCCGTGGAACATAAGTCTTCCTGAGGCCAATAAGGTGAGGCTATCAAACAACTTGAAGATGGAATATCGAGGCTGATGAATGGAGAAGATGATTGTTCGTCCCTGCTTAGACATCCTAAGTTAAAAGTGAGACAATACTAAGTCATTAAATATCTGAAACTTGTATTTCTCAGTAAAATACTCTATTCTTGCCTTTAGATTGTTTGCTCTAGTTCAGCCTGACTTTGTCTTACTAACTTTTCATCTCATATTATTTAGCTATAGTTAGCAAACCTAAATTCAATGCTTTTATTAAAACAGAATAGGAATTTTCAGTGTGTTGTATTGACAATCTAGAATCAACTAGAATAGTTATTAAAAATGCAGATTCTAGGACAGTCTTCCCAGACATTGAATTAGAATCTCTGGCAGTAGGTCTAGGGAATCCATATTTTAAGAAGCAACCCAGGTAATCTGCAAGTATTTACAAGTTTGAGAACTAACTATGGACTGCATATTAAAACAATGGTCATATATCTCATTCTGACTTATCATTTAGGTCTTCTGGCTCTTTAAAAATTGGTTTTCACTCTTCTGCCCTAATAATGCAATTAACATAACTGAGTACTTACTATGTCTTTGCTAAATAATTTAGAGATAACTTCATTTCAATTTTCACAATATTGTCATGAGGCAGTTCCAATATTATTATTATTACCCTCATTTTATAAATATGTCTTAAAGGATCAAGCAACTGGCCAAGGGATCACAGTTAGTAAGAGGCAAGGCTGGGATTTAATCTCTGGTCTAAGTCCATGACCAAAATAGTGCTAAAGTACCTTTTCACAGGAGTTATGACTTACAGGTTGATAAGGTTTGGCTGTGTGCCCACCCAAATCTCACCTTCAATTGTAACAATCCCCACATATCAAGGATGGGGCCAGGTGGAGATAATTGAATCATGGGGGAAGTTCCCCCATACTGTTCTCGTGGTACTGAAAAACTCTCACGAGATCTGATGGTTTTATAAATGGGAGTTCCCCTGCACAAGCTCTCTTGCCTGCTGCCATGTACAACATGCCTTTTCTTCTTTGCCTTCCACGAAAATTGTGAGATCTCCCCAGCCATGTGCAACTGTAAGTCCATGAAACTTCTTTCCCTTATAAATTACCCAGCCTCAGGTATGTCTTTATTAGCAGTGTGAGAACAAACTAATACAGTAAATTGGTACTGGTAGAGCAGGATGCTGCTGTAAGATACCCAAAAATCTGGAAGCCACTTTGGAACTGGGTAACAGGCAGAGGCTGGAACAGTTTGGAGGGCTAAGAAGAAGACAGGAAGATGTGGGAAAGTTTGGAACCTCCTAGAGACTTGTTGATTGGCTTTGGCTGAAATGCTGACAGTGATATGGACAATGAAGTCCAGGTTGAGGTGGTCTCAGATGGAGATGAGGAACTTGTTGGGAACTGGAATAAAAGTGACTCTTGCTATGTTTTAGCAAAGAGACTGGTGGCATTTTGCCCCTGCCCTAGAGATCTGTGGAACTATGAACTTGAGAGAGATGATTTAGAGCATCTGGTAGAAGAAATTTCTAAGCAACAAAGCATTCAAGAGGTGACTCGGGTGCTGTTAAAAGCATTCAGTTTTATTCATTCACAAAGATATGGTTTGAAATTGGAACTTATGTTTAAAAGGGAAGCGGAGCATACAAGCTCAGAAAATTTGCAGCCTGATGATGCGATAAAAAAGAAAAACCCATTTTCTGAAGAGAAATTCAAGCCTGCTACAGAAATTTGCATAAGTAATAGGGAACCAAATGTTAATCACCAAGACAATGGGGAAAATGTCTCCAGGGAATGTCAGACGTCTTTACAGCAGCTCCTCCCATCACAGGCCCAGAGGCCTAGGAGGAAAAAATGGTTTCCTAGGCCAGGCCCAGGGCCTTGCTGCTTTGTACAGTCTCGAGACTTGGTACCCTATGTTTCAGCCATGGTTAAAGGGGACCAACAGAGAGTTGGCAGCTTCCATGTGGTGTTAGGCCTGCCCTTCACCTAGATTTCAGAGGATGTATGGAAATACCTGGATGTCCAGGCAAAAGTCAACTTTAGGGGTGGAGCCCTCATGGAGAACCTCTGCTAGGGCACTGCAGATGGGAAATGTTGGGTGGGAGCCCCTACACAGGGCCCCCACTGAGGCACTGCTTAGTGCAGTAGTGAGAAGAGGGCCATCATCCTTAAGACCCCAGAATGGTAGATCCACCAACAGCTTGAATTGTGCATCTGGAAAAGCCACAGACACTCAATACCAGCCTGTGAAATCAGCCACAAAAGGGGCTGTGCCCTGCAAATCCACAAGGCCAGAGCCTCCCAAGGCCCTGGGAGCCCACCTCTTGCATCAGTGTGACTTGGACGTGAGATATGGAATCAAAGAAGATAATTTCAGAGCTTTAAGATTTGACTGCCCCTTTGGATTTCGGACTTGCGTGGGACCTGTAGCCCCTTCGTTTTGGCCAATTTCTCCCATTTGGAACAGGTGTATTTACCCAATGCCTGTACTCCTATTGTATCTAGGAAGTTACTAACTTGCTTTTGATTTTACAGGCCCATAGGTGGATGGAACTTGCCCTGTCTCAGATGAGACTTTAGAATGTGAACTTTTGAGTTAATGATGAAATGAGTTAAGACTCTGGGAGACTGTTGGGAAGGCATGATTGGTTTTAAAATGTGAGGACATGAGATTTGGGAGGGAGGGGCCAGGGGCAGAATGATATGTGTCCCCACCCAAATCTCACCTTGAATTGTAATAACATTTGTAATAATTATAATAACAATACACAGGTGGAAGAAGGGCCAAAATCACTGTTCAAAACTGTTACTATTCAAAATATTTTATGTGAAGAGTCACTTCAATTTTAACATTTTCTAAGAACTTACTGTATGCTAGCAGTGTACACAAAAACATTCTGCCTCAAAGAGGATCAGGCCAGTAGGTCAACAATTTCAGTACAATATGAAATAGAAGATGCTAAGGATTCCTCATAAGCAAAATGGGAGACTCACAACCCAGTCTGAAGATGATATAAGTAGAGTAAAAAAGGCCCAACAGGAGGAAGCTAAGAAGAAAAAGAAAAAGTACTGAAGGTGGAAGAATAAGATGAAAAAGGTGTGAAATAAAAAGGTCTACTCAGAAAACTACAAAATGTTCAGTGTTATAGAGCAGAGAGAGGGAGAAAAAATGTGTATGTGTGTGTCTGTTGGTGTTGAGTAAAGAAGCTAAAGAGACAGCAGCAAAACAGGCCCAACCCCCCTACACCCTCATCACAGACATCCTTCCCTACATTCTTACCTGCTTTGTTTTTCTTGATAATGCTTTTCATTTGTTAACTGACTTTCACTCCAACAGAAGAGGAAGAAATTACTTTGATCATTTCTGAACCCCCTGCCCCAAGAATATCTGGGACATAGTAGTGATAAGATATTAACTAAAGAATAATGTTTCCAGAGCATTTACCTTTTCAGGAGCAAAAGGACAGCATTTGCTGTGCTTGAGTCTAAGCCAGTTGTAGGCTCATCCAAGAACAAGATGGAAGGATCAGTGATAAGCTCCATTCCTATACTAGTCCTTTTTCTTTCTCCTCCAGACACACCACGGATAAACTGAGTTCCAACCTAAATCACAAATATTATAATTGTCAATGATAACAACCAGTCATTATCATTTGGTGAGCTCCTAACGTGTGCCAGTCCTGTAAGAGACACTTTATCTCATTAAGTTCATTTATTCTGAACAGCAAATAAGTGGATACCTGGTAGAAAAAGTAGGTATCTCTTTTATCAGATGAGTAAACTTAGGTTCAGGTCACAGCTGGTCAGTAACTAAGCCTGATACAAAGCACCTCCTTGGGTGAGGCTATGCCTCACCCAGGAAGCACAAGGGGTGGGGGAAGTCCCTCCCCTAGCCAAGAGAAGCCGTGAGGGACTGTGCCACGAGGGATGGTGTATTCCGGCCCACATACTGTACTTTTCCCATGGTATTCACAACCCGCAGACCAGGAGATTCCCGCAGGTGCCTACATCACCAGGGCCCTGGGTTTCAAACACAAAACTGGGTGGCCATTTGGGCAGACACTGAGACAGCTGCAGGAGTTTTTTTTTCATACCCCAGTGGTGCCTGGAATGCCAGCGCGACAAAACTGTTCACTCCCCTGGAAAAGGGGCTGAAGCCAGGGAACCAAGTGGTCTAGCCTAGCTCAGCGGATCCCAGCCCCACAGAGCCCAGCAAGCTAAGATCCACTGGCTTGAAATTCTTACTGCCAGCACAGCAGTCTAAAGTCAACCTGGGAAGCTTGAGCTTGGTGGGGGGAGGGGCATCCACCATTACTGAGGCTTGAGTAGGCCCTCACAGTGTAAACAAAGCCTCTGGGAAATTCGAACTGGGTAGAGCCGACCACAGCTTGGCAAAGCCACTGTAGCCAGACTGCCTCTCTAGATTCCTCCTCTCTATGCAGGGCATCTCTGAAAGAAAGGCAGCAGCCCCAGTCAGGGGTATATAGATAAAACTCCCACCTCCCTGGGACAGAGCAGCTGAGGTAAGGGGAGGCTGTGGGCACAGCTTCAGCAGACTTAAACGTTCCTGCCTGCTGGCTTTGAAGACAGCAGTGAATCTCCCAGCACAGCGCTAGAGCTCTGCTAAGGGACAGATTGCCTCCTCAAATGGGTCCTTGACCCCTGTGCCTCCTGATTGGGAGACACCTCCCAGCAGGGGTCGACAGACACTTCATACAGGAGAGCTCCAGCTGGCATCTGGCGGGTGCCCCTCTGGGAACAAAGCTTCCAGAGAAAAAAAACAGGCAGCAATCTTTGGGGTATCTTTGCTGTTCTATAGCCTCTGCTGGTGATACCCAGGCAAACAGGGTCTGGAGTGGACCTGCAGCAAACTCCAGCAGACCTGCAGCAGAGAGGCCTGACTGTTAGAAGGAAAACTAACAAACAGAAAGGAATAGCATCAACATCAACAAAAAGGAAATCCACACCAAAACCCCATCCAAAGGTCACCAGCATCAAAGACCAAAGGTAGATAAATCTATGAAGATGAGGAAAAACCTGTGCAAAAAGGCAGAATGCCTCTTCTCCTCCAAAGGATCACAGCTCCTCGCCAGCAAGGGAACAAAACTGGATGGAGAATGAGTTTGATGAATAGACAGAAGTAGGCTTCAGAAGGTGGGTAATAACAAACTCCTCCAAGCTAAAGGTGCATATTCTAACCCAATGCAAGGAAGCTAAGAACACTGAAAAAAGGATAGAGGAATTGCTAATTAGAATAACCAGTTTATAGAAGAACATAAATGACCTGATGAAGCTGAAAAACACAGCACAAGAACTTCGTGAAGCAAACACAAGTATCAATAGCTGAATCAATCAAGCGGAAGAAAGGATATAAGAGATTAATGAAATAAACTTAATGAAATAAAGCGTGAAGACAAGATTAGAGAAAAAAGAATGAAAAGGAACAAACAAAGCCTTCAAGAAATATGGGACTATGTGAAAGGACAAAACCTACGTTTTATTGGTGTACCTGAAAGTGACAGGGAGAATGGAACCAAGTTGGAAAACATTCTTCAGGATATTATCCAGAAGAACTTCCCCAACCTAGCAAGACAGGCCAACATTCTAATTCAGGAAATAAAGAGAACAGCACAAAGATACTCCTCAAGAGCAACCCCAAGACACATAATCATCAGATTCATGAAGGTTGAAATGAAGGAAAAAATGTTAAGGGCAGCCAGAGAGAAAGGTTGTGTTACCAACAAAGGGAAGCCTATCAGACTAACAGCAGATCTCTCTGCAGAAACCCTATAAGTCAGAAGAGAGTGGGGACCAATATTCAAAATTCTTAAAGAAAAGAATTTTTCACCCAGAATTTCATATCCAGCCAAACTAAGCTTCATAAGTGAAGGAGAAATAAATTCCTTTACAGACAAGCAAGTGCTGAGGGATTTTGTCACCACCAGGCCTGCCTTTCAAGAGTTCCTCAAGGAAGCACTAAATATAGAACAGAAAAACTGGTACCAGTGACTGCAAAAACATACCAAATTGTAAAGACCATCAACACTATGAAGAAACTGCATCAATTAATGGGCAAAATAACCAGCTAACATCATAATGACAGGATCAAATTCACACATAACAATATTAACCTGAAATGTAAATGGGCTAAATGCCCCAGTTAAAAGACACAGACTAGCAAATTGGATAAAGAGTCAAGACCCATCGGTGTGCTGTATTCAGGAGACCCATCTCACATGAAAGATACACATAGGCTCAAAATAAAGAGATGGAGGAAGATCTGTCAAGCAAATGGAAAGCAAAAAAAGCAGGGGTTGCAATCCCAGTCTCTGATAAAACAGACTTAAAACCAACAAAGATCAAAAAAGAGAAAGAAGAGTATTACATAATGGTAAAGAGATCAATTCAACAAGAAGAGCTAACTATCTAAAATCTATATGCACCCAATACAGGAGCATGCAGACTCATAAAGCAAGTCCTTAGAGACCTACAAGGAGACTTCAGACTCCCACACAATAATAGTGGGAAACTTTTAACACCCCACTGTCAATATTAGACAGATCATCGACATCAACAAGGATATTCAGGACTTGAACTCAGCTCTGGACCAAGTGAACCTAACAGACACCTACAGAACTCTCTACCCCAAAGCAATAGAATATACATTCTTCTCAGCACCACACAGCACTTATTCTAAAATTTATCACATAATTGGAAGTAAAACACTCCTCATCACATGCAAAAGAACGGAAATCATAACCAACAGTCTGTCAGACCACATTGCAATCAAATTAGAACTCAGGATTAAGAAACTCACTCAAGGCCAGGCGTGGTGGCTCATGCCTGTAATCCCAGCACTTCGGAAGGCTGAGGCAGGTGGATCTTGAAGTCAGGAGATCAAGACCATCCTGGCTAACACGGTGAAACCCCGTCTCTACTAAAAATACAAAAAATTAGCTGGGCGTGGTGGCGGGCACCTGTAGTCCCAGCTACTCAGGAGACTGAGGCAGGAGAATGGTGTGAACCTGGGAGGCTGAACTTGCAGTGAGCCAAGATCGCGCCACTGCATTCAAGCCTGGGCAACAGAGCGAGACTCTGTCTCAAAAAAAAAAAACTCACTCAAAACTGCACAACTATGACTGGGCGTGGTGGCTCATGCCTGTAATCCCAGCACTTTGGGAGGCCGAGGCAGGCGGATCATGAGGTCAGGAGATCAAGACCATCCTGGCTAACGTGGTGAAATGCCATCTCTAATAAAAATACAAAAAATTAGCCGGGCTAAGTGGTGGAAGCCTGTAGTCCCAGCTACTTGGGAGGCTGAGGCAGAAGAATGGCGTGAACCCAGGAGGTGGAGCTTGCAGTGAGCTGAGACTGCACCACTGCACTCCAGCCTGGGCAACAGAGCAAGACTCTGTCTCAAAAAAAAAAAAAAAAAAAAAAAAAAAAACTGTAGAACTACACGGAAACTGAACAACCTGCTCCTGAATGACTATTGGATAAATAATGAAATGAAGGCAGAAATAAATAAATTCTTTGAAACCAATGAGAACAAAGACACAACGTACTAGAATCTCTGGGACATAACTAAAGCAGTGTTTAGAGGGAAATTTATAGCACTAAATGCCCACAGGAGAAAGTGGGAAAGATGTAAAATCGACACCCTAACATCACAATTAAAAGAACTAGAGAAGCAATAGCAAACAAGTTCAAAAAGCTAGCAGAAGACAAGAAATAACTAATATCAGAGCAGAACTGAAGGAGATAGAGACAGGAAAAAACCCTTCAAACAAATCAACGAATCCAGGGCTGGTTTTTTGAAAAGTTTAATAGAATACATAGACCTCAAGCTAGACTAATAAAGAAGAGAGAAGAATCAAATAGACACAATAAATAATGATAAAGGGGATATAATCACTGATCCCACAGAAATACAAACTACCATCAAAGAATACTATAAACACCTCTACGCAAATAAACTAGAAAATCTAGAAGAAATGGATTTTCCTGTACACACACACCCTCCCAAGACTAATCCAGGAAGAAGTCGAATCACTGAGTGGACCAATAGCAAGTTCTGAAATTGAGGCAATAATTAATAGCCTACCAACCAAAAAAGGTCCAGGACCAGACAGATTCACAGCCGAATTCTACCAGAGGTACAAAGAGGAGCTGGTACCATTCCTTCTGAAACTATTCCAAACAATAGAAAAAGAGGAACTTCTCCCTAACTCATTTTATGAGGCCAGCATCATTCTAATACCAAAACCTGGCAGAGACACAACAAAAAAAGAAAATTTCAGGCCAATATCCCTGATCAACATCAATGTGAATATCCTCAATAAACTACTGGCAAACTGAATCCAGCAGCATATCAAAAACCTTATCCACCATGATCAAGTCAGCTTCATCCCTGGGATGCAAGGCTGCTTCAACATATAGAAATCAATAAATGTAATCCATCACATAAATAGAACAAATGACGAAAACCACATGATTAACTCAATAGATGCAGTAAGGCCTTCGATAAAATTCAACACCCCTTCATGCTAAAAACTCTCAATAAACTAGGTATTGATGGAATGTATCTCAAAATAATAAGAGCTATTTATGACAAACCCACAGCCAATATCATACTGAATGGGCAAAAGCTGGAAGCATTCCCTTTGAAAACCGGCACAAGACAAGGACGCACTCTCTCACCACTCCTATTCAACATAATATTGGAAGTTCTGGCCAGGGCAATCAGGCAAGAGAAAGAAATAAAGTGTATTCAAATAGGAAGAGAGGAAGTCAAATTGTCTCTGTTTGCAGATGACATGATTGTATATTTAGATAAGCCCCTTGTCTCAGCCCAAAATCTCTGAAGGCTGATAAGCAACTTCAGCAAAGTCTCAGGATACAAAATCAATGTGCAAAAATCACAAGCATTCCTATACACCAATAATAGACAAACAGAGAGCCAAATCATGAACTTCCATTCACAATTGGTACAAAGAGAATAAAATACCTAGGAATACAACTTACAAAAGATGTGAAAAACCTCCTCAAGGAGAACTACAAACCACAAAGGAAATAAGAGAGTACACAAACAAATGGAAAAACATTTCATGCTCATGGATAGGAAGAATCAATATCATGAGAATGGCCATACTGCCCAAAGTAATATAGAGATTCAATGCTATCTCCATCAAGCTACCATTGACTTTCTTCACAGAATTAGAAAAAAAACTACTTTAAATTTCATATGGAACCCAAAAAAAAGCCTGTATAGCCAAGACAATCCTATGCAAAAAGAACAAAGCTGGAGGCATCACGTGACCTGACTTTAAACTATACTACAAGGCTACAGTAGCCAAAACAGCATGGTACTGGTACCAAAACAGATATATAGACCAATGGAACAGAACAGAGGCCTCAGAAATAATGCCACACATCTACAACCATCTGATCTTTGACATACCTGACAAAAACAAGCAACGGGGAAAGGATTCTGTATTTAATAAATGGTGCTGGGAAAACTGGCTAGCCATATGCAGAAAACTGAAACTGGACCACTTCCTTACACCTCTACTCAAGATGGATTAAAGACTTAAATGTAAGACCTAAAACTGTAAAAACCCCAGAAGAAAACCTAGGCAATACCCTTCAGGACATAGGCATGGGCAAAGACTTCATGACTAAAACACTGAAGGCAATTGCAACAAAAGCCAAAATTGACAAATGGGATCTAATTACACTAAAGAGCTTCTGCACAGCAAAAAAAAAGAAAGAAAAAAAAAAACTATCTTCAGAGTGAACAGGCAACCTACAGAATGGGAGAAAAATTTTGCAATCTATCTGACAAAGGGCTAATATCCAGAAACTACAAAGACCTTAAACAAATTTATGAGAAAAACACAACCCCATCAAAAATTGGGCAAAGGATATGAACAGACACTTCTCAAAAGAAGACATTTATGTAGCCAGCAAACATATGAAAAAAACTTCATCATCACTGGTCATTAGAGAAATGCAAATCAAAACCACAATAAGATACCATCTCATGCCAGTTAGAATAGCGATGATTAAAAAGTCAGGAAACAACAGATGCTGGAGAGGATGTGGAGAAATAAGAATGCTTTTACACTGTTGATGGGAGTGTAAATTAGTTCAACCATTGTGCAAGACAGTGTGGTGATTCCTCAAGGATCTAGAACCAGAAATACCATTTGACCCAGCAATCCCATTACTGGGTATATACGCAAAGGATTATAAATCATTCTACTATAAAGACACATGCACACATGTATTTATTGCAGCACTATTCACAATAGCAAAGACTTGGAACCAACCCAAATGCCCATAATGATAGACTGAATAAAGAAAATGTGGCATATATACACCATGGAATACTATGCAGCCATAAAAAAGAATGAGTTCATGTCCTTTGCAGGGACATGGATGAAGCTGGAAACCATCATTCTCAGCAAACTAACACAGGAACAGAAAACGAAACACTGCATGTTCTCACTCATAAGTGGGAGTTGAACAATGAGAACACATGGACACAGGGAGTGGAACATCACACACTGGGGCCTGTCAGGGTGTCAGGGGCTAGGGATGGGATAGCATTAGGAGAAATACCGAATGTAGATGATGGGTTGAAGGGTGCAGCAAACCACCATAGCACATGTATACTATGTAACAAACCTGCACGTTCTGCACATGTATCCCAGAACTTTAGTGAAAGATAAAATTTTTTAAAAAAAGCACCTGCTTTTAACAGTTTGTTCTTCACCAAGTCAAATATGTAGTTTGAAGTTCAGAACACTAAAAGATAGGTGACATGGTGAAATCACAGTCTAAAAAGGGAGATAAAGTCAGGAGAAGAAAATGTGAATGCAACTATAATTATTAGTCTTCTAACACTCTCTCCCCTCCCAGCCTCCAGGTGGACTTACAATAAGAGCATGGGCTCTGCAGCTAGGAGAGTTCACTTTCTCTCATATGATATTAACACCTTTTCAATTACCATGAGGCTCCCCAAATTGACCCCATATATACCTAAGGTTAATAACTGGGAAATCTATGTAAATGATATTAATTGTCTCATTATTATATTAATTATACTATAGCCATATCATTACTATAGTAATCAGACAATTCACTCTACATTTCTGTTATGTTTAAAATTTCACAAAAAGTAACATATTTTAAATGTATTGCTTCAATTATTTAGATAAATAAACTAGGAAGTCAATAGCTGTGCCTTCACAGTCTATTTTCCCTAGATATCCTAACAAGCAACATAGGGCAATGGCTGCCTGAAGGTAAAGAATAGAGTGGAACAAAACACCTTACTGGTAAGATAAAATCAAACAGAACCAAAGCAAAGAAAACCCAATCACTCATAAAGCGGAAATAAGTAGTGAATGGTGGCATCTCAGAGTTACTCTTCCAAACAAAATACAGTAAAACACCCTGAACAGAAAGGACTGTCAGAAAGCATAATATGAAGTATACACCATTAGAACATCTCATTCTTCATTGCTTCTAAGTAAGGGATATCACAGGGGATTACACTATAGCCATTACAATGCAAAAAGCTCATTTTCACCCAAAGCTTCAAATATCTTCTCAGCAAATCTTCCAAACATATTAATCAATTGTAAAGTTCATTCATTCATGTCATTTTTTTCTTCACGATCCTCTCCAACCCACAAGAGGAGGAGTTACTTTGTCTCTCTTGCCCACAATTGTATCTCTAGAACCTAAAAGACAGCTTAGCATACAAAAGTCTGTAAACATTTGGCAGAAGAAAAAGAGGCAGAGAAGGGAGGGAATGAGAGACAAAACTATTAAAAGAAAGGCTATTAAAAAAAACAGACACTACATAAATGAGAAATAAATCCTAATTTGACCAAATATAATTTTGGAAGCCAAATTATAGGAAACTGAAACATATAGAGCAGGGGTCCCCAACTTCTGGGGAACCAGGATGCACAGCAGGCAAGTGAGCAAAGCTTCATCGGTATTTACAGCCGCTCCCCAATGCTTGCATTACCACCTGAGCT
Organism: Homo sapiens; assembly: GCF_000001405.40. Taxonomy (NCBI): domain Eukaryota; kingdom Metazoa; phylum Chordata; class Mammalia; order Primates; family Hominidae; genus Homo; species Homo sapiens. Next base: position 88,130,243 of record NC_000004.12, read on the forward strand.
CCACCTGTCAGGTCAGTGGCGGCATTAGATTCTCATAGGAGCATGAACCCTATTGTGAACTGCATGTACGAGGATCTAAATTGTGTGTTCCTTATGAGAATCTAATGCCTGATGATGTGTCACCGTTTCCCATCACCCCCAAATGGGACCATCTAGTTGCAGGAAAACAAGCTTAGGGCTCCCACTGATTCTATATTATGATGAGTTGTATAATTATTTCATTATATATTACAATGAAATAATAATAGAAATAAAGTGTACAATAAATGTAATGCACTTGAATTATCCCAAAACCATCCCCCCTACCCTGGTCCATAGAAAAACTGTCTTCCATAAAACTGGTCCCTGGTGGCAAAAGTTGGGGACTGCTGATACAGAGCAAGAATCCTTGGACTCTCATCACTTATCAATCCCAGAAATATACCTCAATAGCAATGGAACAAAGTCCCTTGGAGGAAGAGTGACTAAAAGGAGGAAGAGAAAAAGAGGAAGAAGAAAAGTTAGTGCAGACACGGAATGAGACGTGACTTAAACCATGAGGTGGGGGAGGAGCATAAGGAAAGGCCAGGTGATGAACACTTTCACGTACAACACCACATTGCCTCACTTCAGGTGCAGAATTCAACCAATGTGAAGATTTTTTTTCCAGGTTAATTTCCACGTTCATATTATGTAACAAGCCACTTTTCTCATTGTTATGGAAAGCAACCATTTTTGACCATACACATTACAGGAAACTTCTGAATCAGAGTCATTTTATCCACACAGGGAAAGTCCTACTTATGCTGATCATGATGCTTTCAGTTTTTCCACATTACCTTGGAGTCTGCCACTTTATCCAGACCTAACTCTTGAATGACCCTGTTAATCCGTTCGTTTTTTTCATGATTCGTCATAGTTGTTGCAAGCCGAAGAGCTGCTGAGAACTGTAAGTTTTCTCTCACCGTCAGAGTGCCCATCACAACATCATCCTTAAGGCAAATAGCATTTTAATGAGACATAATGATAATGAGTCTTTTCTAAGACCATGACTGTTTAGTATACATAACATAATCCACAAAGATAACATAACTAAGGTAAAGTTCTAGCTAATGATGAACCTGCAGTTCTGCAAATGACAGTTAACTCCATAGATGTCTGCAAAGCCTGCTATAATCATTTTTCACCCCCTATCTGTACACCCAAATAGAATGCAAGTAATTATGTTAACTACCAGCAGACATTTCCAAACTGCTTCATACAAGGATTTGCCAAAATATCTTTCTAAGCTAGGGGAAAAGAAAGGTGAAGGAAAGGCAAAAAAGGATAACAGTAGTATGTATCATTTTAGAAATGATACAAAAACTAGAATTGGTATCACTGTCCTTACAAGGGCCATATTCCAGATTCTCCCTGCCTTTTCACATAAGTGTCTATGAGAAATTAAGAAAAGCTGCTGTAAAGAACGTCAGTTCTAGGACCATGTCACATAATCAACTGGAAGCACATTGAACTATCAGCCAAAGCACTTACCCATATAGAAACAGAGGAAACAGAAAATGCAAACCCACTAATACTTACTTGTACCACGTAACCTGAATTACATTTGAAATTGGCAGGTCGCGGTGCTCCATTTATCAGAACATCTCCAGATAATCCACTTGGATCTTTCCTTGCAGCTAAGACATCTAATAACCTATAAGAGGACATATATGTTGTGGGTCTAATAACCTATAAGAGAATATATATGTTGTGGGGTTTTTTTCCCTCCAACACATGCTATATATCTCATGGCTACTTTGAATCCAAATTCTACTTTAGTTAGAAAATTAACTGGTCAAGAAATTCTATGGTTTAACTAAAATTATGCTTTTAAAAATTCTCACCTTTCTCTTTTCATTGTACATTACAATAAAGCCCCAAAACATAAAGCAAGACACCATTGGCTGATCAAGTACAGATCTCCCAAATGGCCCTTCCAGCTGTCTGACCTTGGAGGTACTAACACAGGCAATGTGCTCTTTTATCTAAGACTCATGCCTTTACTTACATCTTCTGCTTCCTTTCCCTACTTTTAATATTCTCCCATTCTTTTTCCTCCCTATTAGCTGATAACATGGTCAACTGCTACATGTCAATCACCTTATCAAATCCTATTAGTAAAGCTAACCTAATAAGACTACCTGGTCTTTGGGAAAAAACCACGCAACTACAGTTATCCACAGCACCTAGAACCAGACCTGACATGCGTTGCAAATGCTCAATAAATACCTGCTCGCACACAAAAAAAAGTGGCTTTTAAAAGCACATTAAAAGTGCACAGAAAACGCTTACTTATACTCTCTTATACTCACGAAGATTTGCCTCCACCTGTGGGTCCCAGGATGGCGTTGAGACCAGGTTTCATGATCCCACTGTAAACACAAAAACAGACTGATTTACTATTCCATTTTAAGTCAGGTTCTATTAATTTAGGGTAGGCACTGAATATACTCAATGAAGGTTGATGAAATTACAAATAGAACACAAGCACAAACCAACTCTTAAAGAAAACAAACAAACAAAACAGGTCATGCATGGTGGCTCAGGCCTGTAATCCCAGCACTCTGGGAGACCAAAGCAGGATTGCCTGAGGCCAGGAGTTTGAGACCAGCCTGGGCAACATAGGGAGACACTGTCTCTACTTAAAGAAAAAAAAAAAAGATTGTTGATTTGATGTGTAATATATAATGGATGTTAATCACTGGTCAAGTCCTACAAGAAAAATGGCATAGATTCCTCTAAATTCCTTTCACTTATTCTCTAACCCATTTATATTTTCTGGAAAATGACATTCAACATTTAACGTTCCTTGAAATAACTAACAGATTCTTGTGAAACATCTCCGTTACACTTACTGCTCTTAACACAGTGTGAAACGAAATACATGGCGTGTTCTGAGTACTGTTTGATGATCAGTACTGTATCTTCAAGTGGTCACATTTGCTACCTAGTCAAATTCTACACAATTAATAAGTCGCTAATTTGTGGAATACCGGTAGAAGTATTCTCACTGCTAAAATCTAATCAGCCCAAGAAACATCTAAGTAGAAATCGAGGCTGGGATAAAGCACTTCAGGATAAAAAGAAAACATGACCGAAAGAAAAAAAAAGCCTTAATCCATTTAGAAAAGTAAAAGATATATCCTCAAGATATATCATTTTCTTCCTTGTTAAGAGTCAGATAAATACACTGGAAAATTCCAAGTTTAGAAGGAGAAGACATCACTTTGGTAGGGTCATCCTTTAAGAATATGAAGACGTGGTACATACATAAGCACGTTTCAAACAAAGTGGATGTCTGAGGGTAGTGAATATTCAGATAGAGAAGGAAGGTGGAAAAAATTATGGCAGTGTTGACTGTGCTGAGACCCAAGAAGACAGCAAATAGTTTGATTTTCTCCTAAAGATAGCAAGTAGAATGATAAGTGAAGGAACTGGAGAAAGGAGAATTTGGCCGGGTGTGGTGGCTCATGCCTGTAATCCCAGCACTTCGGGAAGCCGAGGCGGGTGGATCACTTGAGGTCAGGAGTTCTAGACCAGCCTGGCCAACATGGCAAAACCCCGTCTCTACTAAAAATACAAAAATTAGCCAGACACGGTGGTGGGTGCCTGCAATCCCAGCTACTCGGGAGGCTGAGGCAGGAGAATCACTTGAACCCAGGAGGTGGAGGTTGCAGTGAGCCGAGATCACGTCATTGTACTCCAGCCTGGGCAACAGAGCAAGACTCCGTCTCAGAAAAAAAAAAAGAAGAAGAAGAAAGGAGACTTCAGGGTGGGGCCTGGCTTGTTCCTTTCAAAACACAGGTATCTATGCCCATTCTCTCCTTAGAATTGATAAGTAAGTTACAATATATTCCACAGAGAAAGTAATATCTATTCCAAATGGAAGGTCAAAGCCAAAGACTATTTCATTCTCAAATAATGATTAGCACAGAGGCCAATCCTATGATCCTATACAATTATGAGTGATAAGCAACTGCACCACAGTGCTTAAACCCAAGACTCCCTGAGCATTTACTGCCTGTTGTACTTGAACTATCACAATTGTACAATGGCTGGTGGGTACAAGAGTGAAATGTAGCTTTCACTTTGCTCATTAACTGGGGTATCTCTCAGTGAAACGCTGCACAAAGACAATGGGAGTTAGGTAAACCAGGAGCAAGATCTAACAGAAAAATCTCTTACTCTTTCAGTGGACTCTTCCCTCTAAATGTGTAAAACAACATACTAATGATTGGGCAAATTTTCAAGGTGCATTTATCTATAGCTCTTGATGCATCTTCTTTATAAACAGGTCCCTAATAACTGCCTCTAAAATCACCATAAGCTTGTTATTCACTAAGGCTCCACTGTCAGAAAAGCTTTCCAGGTTTCTAAAATACCTACTCAAATAAAGACCAAGCAATCCTAAATGATTAACCCAAACCTCAACATGAATGTTCTAAGACAAAGAGCTTGGCTTACTACTTTGGGATGAAACCCTGGCATTACAGAAAACAACAACAATGTCCAGTCATAAATGCCAAGAGTTTCCATTTGGAGCAGTGGCTAATTCCAACTCCATCCACTCAACACAATGATCAAGTATTTACTGTGTACATACAAGATATTCTTCTAGGGCATGGGAGAGTTGAGAACAAAACAAACAAACAAACGAAAAACAAAGTCTGAGCCCTTGTGGAGTTTACATTCTAGTCCAGGGATCAGCAGTTTTCTTAGACAAAGGGTTGTTGGAACAGGGCCGTGCTCATTCCCTTACATATTACCTAGGGCTGCTTTCATGCTACACCACAGCTGAGTAGCTGCAACACAGACGCATGGCCCACAAAGCTGAAAATGTTTATTAATACTATCTGCCCTTTATGGAAACAGCCTGCTGACCTCTGTTCTAGTCTATGGTCTACAATTCACTGGCCTGCCCACCCCACCCTCCACCCTTCTATCATCCCTGAAACTGCATTCCCCACCCTTATTTATTGCTTTACAGCATTTGCATGCAGGTCAGTGTCCCTCACTATAAAAGTCTGTCAACAAGAACAGCATGCCACATTGCTACCACCTCTCACACCCTCCTGCCCATGACATACAGCACAGTTGTTGTAAACCACTGAACATGAACCTGGAACACAGGGAATAAAATTTACCCCAAAATTTCCTGTCACCTCTATTACATTTTAGTGGATAATGATTAATCCCTTGGTCTTGTTTTGTTTATGGACAAGAGAGGTCAATGCTCACCTCCCTCCCACCCTCCCATCCCTACACACACAAAATCTTCACTTTCTCAATCACCACGCCCGGGCCCTCCAATTTAGGGTTGGGGCTCCCATTGGGTCTTCTAATCAATCCTTTTATCAGCGTGAAAGTGTGTTCTGAATCCCCCACTAGGCTTTAAGGCTTCCCTGAACTGAGGATTTACCTGTGTCACTAGCATCTTGCACAATGTCCTGCACTAGCAGGCATTCAAAATTTGTTGAATAAATAAATTTCTGCATTTTTATAAATGGGATTACTTCTAAAAAGACAAGGAAAAATGTTTTCACCTTTTAAAAAACGTTGAGAAGAGATAGCTGGAGGGTGGGGAGATTGTTTATATTATGGAATAGGAAAATTAGGAAGTATATCCTTAACGTACATCCTTAATGTACTTGCTGATTTTCTTATTCCATAATATAAACAATCTCCCACCCTCTCTAGCCAATTAGAGCTAGATTTGTCACTTTTTGAAATTTTACTAACATGGAAATATAGACAGAATCTTGAGGGTTCAGATGAGAATTGGAGAAATTAATGAGAAGCCATAGGTTTTAATCCATATACAAAGACAGCTATAGAAACATAAAGATGGAAACTCCCAGGGTGCTGCGGGAATGGTCACCACTGCTCCCCCAGCTCTTCTCCCGCCCGCTTTGGCCAGATCTGTATGCACCTGCACGTGGGAGGTAGTTTTTTAAAAAGTTATGCATGTATGTGTATGCGTATGTGTGTAGACGTATACACATACATATCTTCTCTAGGTCTCACTCCACTGAGAAAGCCTAGAAACAATGACATCCCAATAGCAATGAGCATTTTAAACACCTAGATTTTGGTTTTGTAAATATCTCCTCCATAAAAATCAACAGCTGATTCTAGGTCTGAGGCAGGGTAAGTACACAGTGAGTCTGGAACTGCTCGCTGTGCCAAGCAAATATTCAAAGAATGAGGCAAGGTGGGAGAAACACTTGAGCCCAGGAGTTTGAGATGTGCCTGGGAAACATAGTGAAACCCTATCTCTACAAAAAACTTAAAAGTTAGCTGGAAGTGGTGGCATGTGCCGGTGGTCCCAGCTACTCAGGAGGCTGAGGTGATAGGATCACTTGAGCCCAAGAGATTGAGGCTGCAGTGAGCTATGATCATGCCACTGCACTCCAGCCTGGGCAACAACGTAAGACCTTGTCTCTAATAAAATTTGTTTAATTACAAAAAGAGGCTGGGCACGGTGGCTTATGCCTGTAATCCCTACATTTTGGGAGGCCAAGGCAGGTGGATCACCTGAGGTCAGGAGTTTGAGACCAGCCTGGCCAATATGATGAAACCCCGTCTTTACTAAGATACAAAAAATTAGCTGGGCATGGTGGTGGGCACCTGTAGTCCCAGCTAGGAGGCTGAGGCAGGAGAATCTCTTGAACCCAGGAGCCGGAAGTTGCAGTGAGCCAAGATCATGCCACTGCACTCCAGCCTGGGCAACAAGAGCAAACCTCCATCTCAATAAAATAAAATAAAATAAAATAAAATAAAATAAAATAAAATAAAATAAGAATGAGGAGATATATCCAAAGAATGAGAGACGGAGAGAGGGAAGAACCCACCTTGAAAGATCTCCCACCAAATCAGGAACAATAAGAGTATGAAGGTAAAACATAATAATGCGTTAATTGAATAAAATACAAATCCCTGACTCTATACTGGTGATAGATGAAGGTTTTTCCTTTTAGTAAAACAAACTAAGAGATAATGATAATAGAAAATCACTGTTTGGCGACTATGATAGTGGTGGCTGACTCAGGCAGGAGTCATCCAGTGGGGACTGAAGTTGGTGAAGTTTAATGTAGAATGGAGTTCTGGAATAATGTCAGTTTATCTCTCCTCATAACACTAATCAATTACCAAGGGGAAAGGGTGACATTATAGCCAAGTTTGGCAGACATCAACATGACCAAGTGATCAATTTTAACATCACCAGGGGTGGGATGAGATAAGAAAATACCACGTTGAATGAGACTGAAGAGACAGGATATGGTGGCAGTCAAATATGTGAGGGGCATGGTTGACCCAAGGCCCTGAGGACCTACCACGACCTTCATTACAAGGCTACATTTCCCCTTGGCTCCTCCTGGACAATGTCTGAGTGGTTATATAGGAGAGGGTCGTTTTTTCAAGAACACACACAAAGGAGTTAAGGAGAAGGAAGCACCATGTGGACAGCCTGCACTCACACGGTTCAGAAAAAACAGTAATGACCATGGGAACATGAAGAGACAAAGTGATGAGAACAAATGCAGTGAAATGTTGGCTGAGAACCTGAATGAAAAGGGTTATGTTCCTGAAACGTTTAAATTTAACATCAGGCCAGGTGCAGTGGCTCATGCTTATAACCCCAGTGCTTTGGGAGGCCAAGGTGGGAGGATCACTTAAGCCCAGGAGTTCAAGGCCAGCCTGGGCAACGTAGGAAGACCCCATCTCCACACACAGAAAATTTTTAATTAGCCAGGCATTGTGGCATCTAGCTACTCCAGAGGCTGAGGCGGGAGAATCACTTGAGCCCAGGAGTTGGAGCTTAGAGTGAGCTATGATTGCAGCACCACACTCCAGCTTAGGTGATGCAGCAGGACTCCATCTCTAAAAAATAAATAAATAAATTTGAAATCATTTCAAAGTAAGTTATTAATTAAAAATGTTCCAAGAGTATAATGAATTTCTCTTAAAATAACAGGACATCCACATATCTATGGGAATGAATTTTTTTTTCCATAAGATCTTCAGCGTTGGTGAGGGAAAGCTCAAATGCTGGGTATGGAGACAAACAAGCATAAGAGAAAGATTTGTCCTAAGTCAGAAGAATCACAACTTTTTAAATTCTCATGGTCAGACTGTTTTTATCTTCTTCCCCCTGCAGAGGAAATCAGGTTATAGTGACTTAGTTCTAGAAGTGAAATTACAAAATGTCCAGAGGAAAAACCAAAATCAAAATTCTCATCAGCTTTTTTGGAATGTAGATGACTATCTGAATGGTGATGCTGCTATCAAACACAAATCAAAAGTAAGATAAATGACAGCAGCCCTTCCTCTACCTCCAGAAACTGTATTTAGAGTTGGAGCCAGCAGATAGGAGAAAGACTGGAAATACTACAGCCAAAAAGGCCTTTCTCATGGATACTTAAACAGGAAATGCCAGCAGCAAAAACACCAACCCCTGATGACCTTTCCACTAAAATGTGAAAGAATTGCAAGATCTGACTGCATTTTTATGAGCCTAGTAAGGAACACAGTTCTATTCATGCAGTAAAGATGAACTCATCTATTGCTGAAATGCATGCCATTTGACCATAAAAAAAAATGCGTGGCCTGGCACAGTGGCTCACACCCCAGTGCTTTGGGAGGCTGAGGCGGGTGGATCATGAGGTCAGGAGTTCAAGACCAGCCTGGCCAACATGGTGAAACCCCATCTTGACTAAAAATACAAAAATTAGCCAGGCATGGTGGCACACACCTGTAATCCCAGCTACTCGGGAGGCTGAGGCAGGAGAATCACTTGAACCCGGGAGGTGGAGGTTGCAGTGAGCCGAGATTGTGCTGCTGCACTCCAGCCTGGGTGATAGAGCGAGACTCCCTCTCAAAAAAAAAAAAAAAAGTGTGAAGCCTTGAGCAGACGAGACTTCTAGTGCATCAAGTTACTCATCTACTAACTTTAAAAGATAAAATAAGCAAAATAAATGCACCCTCACAAAGTACGCTTTTTCTTTTTCTTTTAAGATAGGCTCTCACTTTGCCACCTATTTGTACAGTGGGACAATCATCGCCCACTGCAGACTTGATATCCCAGATTCAAGCCATACTCCTGCCTCAGCCTCCCAAGTAGCTGGGATCACAGGTACACACCACCACGCCCAGCTAATTTTTTGTATTTTCAGTAGAGACAGGGTTTCACTATGTCGGCCAGGATGTTCTCGATCTCTTGACTTCATGATCTGCCTGCCTCGGCCTCCCAAAGTGCTGGGATTACAGGCATGAGCCACCATATCCAGCCACATGTGGTGCATTTTTTAAAAAAGTCTGGCAGTTACTTTGAGAGTCAAACATATACCTAAAATGTGGCCCAGTTATTTCACTCCTAGTTTAGCTAAAACAAATGAAAGCATGTGTCTGTATATCTGTGCAAAGACTTGTACAAAAATGTTCATAGCCAGTTTCTTGGAAATAGCCAAAACCTGTGAGGTTCACTGTAGGTAAATTAAAAAGCTGTCTTTTTACAAGTTCATGTACATACTTGATATTCGATAATATTTCTTTCTCAACTGGTTTTCGACAAGGTAGAAAGCCACTCTTCAGTTTTACTCGATAGCAGATGTTATGAAAACTTAACACAGCTCCTTCAGTAAATGCCTTCAGGTCATTGGAAGCTGTCGCGGGGAAGCCATTGGTGTTTCCTTGTGACACTGGGATAAAAACTTCGACATTACTGGAAGACATCTGGAGAGTTTTTATCTTTCTGCAGACAGAAAAGCAATAGTAAGTTGATAGTCCAGATAAATGAGATTGCAAACACTAGGTGACAATACATTTAAAACAAGTCCATTTTTAAATGTGCGGCAATGAGCAGCTTCATTTCCAATGAATGGCCCATACCATTGTGATAAGAACATCCTAAAAACCTAAATGGGAAGACAGGCACAACTTGGAATGCATAAACTCCAATTAGATGTCAAATACATCCCTAATAAGTAAATGGGTCCTAATAAGTAAATAGGAAGAGTATGAAAATTACAAAAAACTGATAAAGCAGGAAAAGGATGGATGAGGGTTAGACTTGTCTGGCTTGAAAAGCATATTATGATATAAGTCAAGTGCAGGGACAGACTACATGCTCATCATCAGAATCTCTGTATTTTTTTTCAAGACCAGCCTGGCCAACATGGTGAAACCCTGTCTCTACTAATAATACAAAAGTTAGCCAGGTGTGGTGGCGTGTGCCTGTAATCCCAGCTACTTGGGAGGCTGAGGCAGGAGAATGGCTTGAACCAGGGAGGCAGAGGTTGCGGTGAGCAGAGATCGTGCCACTGTACTCCAGCCTGAGCGATAGAGCGAGACTCCATCTCAAAAACAAAGGGAAAAAAAAGAAACTCTATTTTTTTTAATTGCGGAGTTTATAGCATCATTATTATCAAAAGGGGCTTAGCCAAGCAGTCAGGAACAGGAGACATTTCTCTGAATTTATAGCTCCAGACTTTATGTCGGAAGTTGTTATGCACCTTCAATCAGCAAAGAAGGTAAACTCCAAAATTGTTTGCAATTACATAATAATTTCCTTAATTAATAAGTATATTTAAATTCTAGGGAGATTTAAAGTTAGGTACGAAAATCATTAAGTAAATCAAACCAAAAGTTGAGCAAAAATTTAAAACAAAAAAGAATATTAAATGTATCAATAAAATGTGAACTATTTCATTAAACAAATTACAAAAGGCCTCAAAAAAGATTTATTTGAGTAAGACCTTAAGATGAGCTTAACAACTTGTGAAACAGGTTTGAAATGTTAACTTCAATAAATGTAGTTTTAATTTTTAAAAGTCAAAGTAATCCATGACGAACTTTCTCTCTGCCTATGATTGAGTTGCTGTTCCCAAACAGTCCTCCTAAGCACAACGACAAAAGTAGACCAAAAAAAGTAAGAAGAAACTGTTGAAGAGTTCTGTCTGATAAAAGCAACCAAAGCGGCCAGGACATGAGGAACCAAAATCACGGAATGGCGGGACTGAAGCACTGAAACAAACTCTGCATTCCGCGTGCCCTTTCCTCTTAAGGTGGGTATTTGCACACAAAAATTGTACACACCTGGGGCACAGCTCAGACAAACCAAGCAGGAAGAAGCTGCTAGAAGAAATGAGTCGGCTTACTGAAGCCTCTACTATTTCTGAGCAGATATTTCAGCAGTCTGTCAGCACTAGGGAGACAAAATTTTGTTGGTGTTGAGTGCCTAACAGAGGAGGAGCCCTGGAAAGAGATCCCAAAAGCATTATGCTCTGGGAATGTGGACAAACCAAAAAACCAGTCTACTCAATCATGGCGATCTGCTCAGACTGCTAGAAGAAGGTTAAATCCACTCTCTATGAAGATATCATCCAAATTTTCAATAAAAAATTGCCAGGCATCAGGAATCTCTCTGAATCTGCTGTGATTCTGAAGGCTGCCTGATTCACGAATCATAAGTTTAAAAATAATGAAAAAAATTTTTAAAATTGCCAGGCATGCCAAAAAACAGAACCTGATGTTCCGGAAATGAGAAAATGGAAACAGACCCACAAGTAATCTAGACTGGAGTTAACAGACATTGACATTAAAACAAAAGATTGATGTGTTTAAGAAAATTAAAAGACAGACTCTCACCAAGGAACAAAGATCTACAAAAACAAACAAAAATTAAGAATTCAATCGATGAGTTTAACAGCAGCTTTCCTAGTTTAGACACAAATTAGGAAAGAGAATTTAGTGAACTGGAAGACTAGTACACAGAAAACATCCAGGATGAAAATTATGAATGATGAAAATTATTACCATGAAAGGGGGAAAAAATCTCCTAATTAAAAAGAATGAGAACTACATAAAAGAGCATAACAAACATATGGGATAAGATGAAAAAGGTCTGTCATACGCATAACAGGCAACCTGAGAGAGAAGGGAAAATGCAGCAAAATGGGTACTTAGACAGAATCAGTATTTGAAGAAATACTGGCCAGTATTTTCCAAAACTGACAAAGGTATCAAGCCACAGATTGAAGAAACTCTAGGAACACCAAAGAGGATGAATACAAAAAAAGACAAATCTAGGCATATCATAATAAAACTGCCAAAAACCAAAGTTATCTCCTAATAACTGTTTCTGTAATCCAGAAACATAATCATATTTACAAGTCTATTCATTTGGAGTCTGGAAAAGTAGAAACCATTTAAAGACTGACACCCAGCAAATTCAAGGTACATGGCTGGGTTTTAATCTGTGAACACAATGAATGGTAATAATTAGCCAAAATTCTGTTCTCTTGAAGCAGTGAAAGAGAAGGCACAAGTACAGTCAGCAGCCCTGTCCTTGAGTTCTGCATCTGAAGATTCAACCAGTCGCAAATCGAAAATATTAAAAAATAGGACAGGCGTGGTGGTTCACACCTGTAGTCCCAGCACTTTGGGAGGTCAAGGCAGGCAGATCACTTGAACGCAGGAATTCGAGGCCAGCCTGCACAACATGGTGAAACCCCATCTCTATCAAAAATACAAAAAAGTAGCCGAGTATGCTGGTGCACACCCATGGTTTCGGCTACTCGGGAGGCTGAGGCAGGAGGATCACTTGAGCCCAGGAGGCAGAGATTGCAGTGAGCCGAGATCATGCCACTGCACTCTAGCCTGGGTAACAGAGTAATACCCCATCTCAAAAAAATTAATATTTAAAAATAAATATAAATGGATGGCTGTGCCTGTACACAACATATACAGAATTTTTTCATCATTATTTCCTATACAATATAGTATCACAACTATTACCATAACATTTACATTGTATTAGGTATTACAAGTAATCTAGAGATGATTTAAAGTATATGGAACAATGCGTGTACATTATATGCAAATACTATGCCATGTTATATCAGGAACTTGAGCATATGTGGATTTGGGTGTCTGAGGGGAGTCTTGGAACCAATTCCCCAGGGATCTCTAGAGATAACTGTAATGTATGGACTTCACACCTTTACTTCAAAAAGGTTTTAAACCATCTCCCCATGTATTCAGAAACCAAAATACACCAATTCCAACACTAGCAATCACTTCTTCTACTGCCATCCCCATTTGATGTTCCTTCAGCCACTGAGGAAAAGACTTCTTAAGAGTATCAAATAACTTATTGCTTGAATTTAAATAGCTCACTGACTCAAGACGGAAATTTTAAAGACACTTTTGTGAGGTTTCCACAAATAAAAGGCAACAACTAGAGCTAAAGTACCCAAGAAAGAGTGATCACCCATGCCCATACAAGACAGAGGGTAACACTTATAAATACAATCACAATCTTAGAAGTGCCTGCAGAGAAAGAGTTTGCCTTTCCTGTGATAGGATTAAATGTGTAATTCACATTACTCAGGAGCTGTTTCATTCCTGGCTAGGATTCTAACAATCTTCCTCGGGAGATACAGGGCCTTAGTCATTCATGAGTCACAAACCAAGTGATTAGACAGGTATAACCAAGGCACACCATCAAGCTGAAGCACGTTACATCAAAAAGAAAGGAAAAAAAACAAACTTTAATTCTAACACCAATATGGAGCAATACACTTACTCTAAGAAAAAAAACATAGTAAGGATTAAATAAATAAAATATACCAACTCAGCACCAGACTCATCTCAAAGTGCCCGATCTCTAATGAATATAGTATTCTGGGTTTAGGGAACTCTCTAAAAGTAACAACTACCTTTAAGCAAACACCAGTCTTTCCCCATGGTCAGAAGCTTTCTGGACATGTGTGCTGATCTCATTGGATTAGCATCATCTTTTTATATCAAGGAAAATACCCATCACACAACGAGATGTCCCTACAACAAAAATCAACCTCCCACCTGTTGCCGTTTCCTTATTTGCAGATTACCTGCTAAGGCTAATCCATTTCTTTTTCTCTTTCTGTGTCCTAGACCCCCTGCAAAGCCTTAAGTGAAAGGAAGCCTTCAAATGGCTTTACACTTTACCTGATCCCAGCCGATTCATGTTATTTGGCCTGATTATGTATCTTAGCCAACTCAAAAAGCCCTTTCAAATAAGACAGAAGGGATTTGCATATGGAGATTCTTTCCCCAGCTCTGCTGCCTCTTTCGTGCTGGTCTACCTATGTCATTCATACCTCGCCTTTCTTGTTGCTTCCTAACTAGCAAGGCCACATTTTTACTTTTTTTTTTTTTTTTTTTTTTTGAGATGGAGTTTCACTCTTGTTGCCCAGGCTGGAGTGCAATGGCATGATCTAGGCTCACTGCAACCTCCGCCTCCCGGGTTCAAGTGATTCTCCTGCCTCAGTCTCCCTAGTAGCTGGGATTACAGGCCGATGCCACAACGCCCAACTAATTTTTGTATTTTTAGTAGAGACGAAGTTTCACCATGGTGGTCAAGGCTGGTTTCAAACTCCTGACCTCAGGTGATCCGCCCACGTCGGCCTCCAAAAGTGCTGGGATTATAGGTGTGAGCCACTGCGCCCAGCACATTTTTACTTTTTTGAGAAGTTTAACCATTTGTCTTCAATATATGCTGGTACTCTATTATAAAAATGATAATCTGCATTACAGATACCGTATTTCTCAATTTTTTTACTCTTTATCAAACTCTTAATTGTATAGAACACTCTTTACAATTGGAAAGCTCAAATTGCGCAACTCAAAACAACATTTTCATACAATGAAAACTGAGAAGAGGAAAAAAAAAAAAGTGCACAGGTAGAGCCTAAAGTCTTCAGCCTGCCACCTGCCCAGCTGGAACTACTGCATTTGTTGGTAGAAGCCAAGATAGCCTCAAGTTGAGAATTCCAGACTCTACTCTTCCTTTTTTTTTTCCTAGGATGACGCTAGTATATGGAGTTGCACTCTACCTCATAGCCATAGGGCATGCTGCATAAATTACATACCTCTTTAAAGTGTTTACTGAGGTTAATCTCAAAAGATAACAATCCTGAGCAATCAAATCACTGTCAGGCGATTGCTACAAACTTAGCAGTGGAAAGGAAAAGGAACACAAAATCTGAAGTTTAACTTACATAAATTGTCCCTTGTCTTTAAAAGGTATCATGGTATTTTATTGCCTTTAAAAGGTTGATCCATGGGCTTTCATGTTATATCCGATTTGACAGATTTGTCCTGAGAGGTCCAGTGTTGATTATATTCAGGCCCAAAGCCTGCTTGTATGGTGGTTTCAGAGTTAAACTGGCTAGGTGCTCTAGGACCCCACATCATGGCAGCACAGTGATCTGGAGAACGCGGCCTAATTCCCGACAGACAGGAAGAGACCCCATCACCAAAGGGCTGTATGGTCAGTGAGAAGCCACTGAGGCCTTTTAATCAGGAAAGGCTCACAACCCTAATGATGTTTATAAAGGAACACTCTGGGCCAGGCCAGGTGCGGTGGCTCTTGCCTGTAATCTCAGCACTTTGGAAGGCTGAGGTGAGCAGATTACTTGAGGTCAGGAGTTCAAGACCACCCTGGCCAACATGGTGAAACCCCGTCTCTACTAAAAATACAAAAATTAGCCGGGCGTGGTGGTGTGCATTTTTGATCCCAGCTACTCGGGACGGCAGGAGAATCGCTTGAATTCAGAAGGCAGAGATTGCAGTGTGCTAAGATTGTGCTGCTGCACTCCAGCTTGGGCAACAGAGCAAGACCCTGTCTCAATAAATAAATAAAGGAACACTCTGCTGTGTGGAGAACAACAGGAGGAGGGAGAGGCAAGTGTGGAAGCAAGGACTAGCGGGGAGGTAACTGCAAAAATCCAGGGGAGCCATGCTTGGATAACAGAGGCAATGACAGTGGGGACATCAAAGGTTAAGGCTTTGAGAGGGATGAACTTTTGTTAAATCAGAACCAACCAAGACTCATGGATGACAAACCTGCCCACCCTCCTTGGGTCTTCAGTTTGCAACAACGTATCGCTGTTAGGTTTTCTTAAATGTTACTTTAGAGAAGAAAAAATCCTTTTCCATCTCCCCTGTGGGTTCCCTAGCTGGGTTCCTAGAAATTAAACTGGCAATAGACAGGTTAATATGACCAAAAAAAAAAAGTTTCCTTACATAAGTAAGGTGGGAGTTTCATAAACAAATCAGAGTCTAGGACAAATCCATATGACTGAGGCTTTTTTTTTTCTTTTTTCAAGACAGAGTCTCACTCTGTTGCCGAGGACGTAGTGCAGTGGTGTGGATCTTGGCTCACTGCAAGCTCTGCCTCCCAGGTTCAAGCAATTCTCCTGCATCAGCCTCCCAAGTAGCTGGGACTACAGGCGCCCACCACCACACTTGGCGATTTTTGTATTTTTAGTAGAGATGGGGTTTCACCATGTTGGCCAGGCTGGTCTTGAACTCCCAACCTCAGGTGATCCACCTGCCTCAGCCTCCCAAAGTGCTGGGATTACAGGCATGAGTCACCGTGCTTGGCTAAAACCTGTTAATTTTTATAGCAAATTTAGCCAGGCGTGGTGGTCCACACCTGTGATCCCACCTACTGGGGAGGCTGAGGTGGGAGGATCCCTTGAGGGTCCATGAGACGGAGGCTGCAGTGAATCGTGATTGTGCCACTGGAATCCAGCCTAAGCAACAGCGTAACCCTGTCAAAAAGAAAGAAAAGCAAAGAAAAAGGAGAAAGAAGGAAGGAAGGAAGGAAGGAAGGAAGAAGGAAGGAAGGGAGGGAGGAAGGGAGGGAGGGAGGGAACAGGAGAAAGAAAGGAAGGAAAAAGAAAGAAAGAAGAAAGAGAAAGAAAAGGAAAGAAAGAAAGAAAGAAAGAAAGAAAGAAAAGAAAGGTAAAGGAAAGGAAAGGAAAAGAAAAGAAAAGAAAAAAGAAGAGAGAAAAGGAAGGAAAGAAAGTAAAAAAGAAAACTAAAAGAATCCATTGAACTCTTCCAGGCACCCTCACAGGCTTCCCTATGAAAGTCCCAAAGAGCCTGGCACTATTGTGCCTGAAATTCCAGCTGTGAGGCTGAGGCAGGAGGATCTCTTGAGCACAGGAGATCAGCTTGGGCAACATGACAAGACCCTGTCTCAAAAAAACGTACCTAAACTCTCTAGCAATATATACCAGTATTTAGATAACAGCTTTAACAATTCAGCATTAAAACGTTCTGCAAGCTTGGGTCACAGAGCATGAACTTTCTTCTTCTTCATGCTCTTTGCCCTTGTGTCTATCCTACACTAAGTACACAGAAAAATGATATTTATGAAAGTATTTCCTTTAGAATTCCTTGCAAATCTGCAATTTCTAAAAGTCATATTTGGATTTGAAAACTGAATTTCTCTACAGAGGCTGGCTATCATAAAAGCAGGGAACTATTTTTGTTTCCTGCAGAGTTCTTCAGACTCTGTTCTCAATTATTCCTATTAAGTGAAAGATTAAATCAATGTGTCACACTCTGTTGCAAGGTAGCTTAATAAAGATGTTAGCACTAGCAAGATAAAGTCACTAACCATGTTAAGGAGTAGATTTTGACAACTCTTCTACAGAATTTAGATTCTGGTAAGATTACTGAACTGCCTATAAAATTTAGAGAGCAAAAACACACATACAGAATAGACTGAGCATGAAATTTGTGAAAGGTAAGCACAAATCCGAAGCAAACCTATCTAAGAACGCAGTATGATTAACACAGCTGTAGTTCACAAAAACTACAATTATCCTGTTTCAATGCAGGACATACTTCCAGCCAGGAATGTCCTTCCCCACCTGAATTTCTACAACCTCACATTCCTTTGATAACTGAGAGATTAAGACAGTTCCATCCCTGAGGGAGCACAAGACCTGCGAGGTGGGAGGGTTTAGAAGCAAGTTCCTAGAGAAGACAGACCAAGTACAGCTGAATCTTGAACAGCACAGGTTTGAAGTACATGGTCCACTTATACGCAGATGGAAGAATGCCAAACCCATGTATACAGAGGGCTGACTCTGCCTATACACTGGTTCCACAGGGCTGCTTGTGGGACTTGAGTATGCAGGGATTTGGGTATATGCACCCAAAGGGACCACTGTACCCCAAGGGACCCCTGTAGATGGAAAAGAAGAAAGGAGAAGAGAAAAAGCTGTTCTAGTAAAGGAATGCAAAATCCTTAATCGAAAGAGATATGTTGGGTCATGTATACCATTCATGAGGCTGGAGTTTAGTTTTCAGAGGGGGGCAGTAACAAAATGAGGCTAAAAAGGTAAGCAAAGACCATCAAAAGGGTGCAGCGTGCCTGATCAGGAGCTAAGACTTGACCCTGGAATTCTGGAGGGTCCCTGACTGCAAGGTCCCAGCTCTACCCTCTCCTCACTCCTATATATCCTGATCCTACAAGATTTTCAGTAAAGCCAGCAAGGTATCTATAGGAAATTAATAACTTACAGAAATTAATACTTATTACTAAGGAAAAACTGTTTTGGAAGGGATCCTATGCCAACTGTACACACGGTTCTGCCTAATCTTTGGTTTTTTTAATCATGTTTATTGGAAACCCGTCAACAGGAAACAGTATTGTAAACAGTAAAATTCATCCTTTTTAAGAGCACAGTTTTCTGACATTGTAAAGTGTACACAGTCCTGTAACCACTACAATCAAGACAGATCATTCATGTTAACCCAAAGAAATCCCCTCTCCTTACCAGAGCCCCTGACAACCACTAATCAGTTTTCTGTCCCCTTAATTTTTCAGCTTAATCTAAATCCTCTCTTTGAATAGAAACAAATGAACATAAGACCCTACAAGGCTACTGTTTTTTCATTTACATTCCCACAAAAATCTGCAGGAATTCTGCTCGTCTGTACAAAAAATAAAATTGAAAAATTAGCCGGGTGTGGTGGCACATGCCTGTAGACCTAGCTACTTGTGAGGCTGAGGAAGGGGGATCCCTTGAGCCCAGGGAGTTCCAGGCTGCAGTGAGTCAAGATCACGCCACTATACTCCCGTCTGGGTGAGAGCAAGATCCTTTCTCTAAAATATAAAAATAAATAAATAAATAAAAGAATTCTGTCCAAATTGGTTTTAATCTGTGATTAGAAAGCCAAAACTTCAGTCTAGAAAATCGTCAAATCATAAATGAAATTAGACCAAGTGCAATTTACATGCGTGTTACATCCCAAATTTTCTTAATCTAATCTGCAATTTGGCCAGCAGTTTCCCAGAGGGAACGGAGATGTTCAAATCCTAAGGCTGCCCATAAAATGCTATCCAATCCATCACAGAATGTGTGGGGTTTCAGCTCCTTCTCCCCTTAAACTTCCTAGCCACAGAACCCTGGAGAAACTGCTTAGCCTCTCCAAGCCTGTTTCTCACCTATAAAATTAATTCGGCCGGGCATGGTGGTTCATGCCTGTAATGCCAGCACTTTGGGAGGCCGAGGCAGGCGGATCACATGAGGTCGGGAGTTCGAGACCAGCCTGACCAACATGGAGAAACCCTGTCTCTACTAAAAATACAAAATTAGTTGGGCATGGTAGCGCATGCCTGTAACCCCAGCCACTCGGGAGGCTGAGGCAGGAGAACTGCTTGAACCTGGGAGGCAGAGGTTGCGGTGAGCTGAGCTCGCACCATTGCACTCCATTCTGGGCAACAAGAGCGAAACTCTGTCTCAAAAAATAATAATAATAATTCGATATTTACTAGACTTCTATTATCTGGCAGGCACTGGACTTACAGGAGTGAACAAAACAAAACAACAGATAAACATCCCGGCCCTCAGTGAGGTTACATATGAAAAATATCAGTCAACAGTGCTACGGAGAAAAAAAATTAAAGCAAAAGAGGAAGGGTGGGCCAGAAATGGTGGCTCACGCCTGTAATCCCAGCACTTTGGGAGGCCGAGGTGGGTGGATTGCTTGAGGCCCGGAATTTGGAGACCAGCCTGGACAATATGGTGAAATCCTTATCTCTATTAAACATACAAAAATTATCCGGGTGTGGTGGCGCATACCTGTAATTCCTGCTACTTGGGAGACTGAGGCACAAGAATTGCTTGAACCCGGGAGGCAGAGATTGCAGTGAGCCAAGGTCACACCAATGCACTCCAACCTGGGCAACAGAGGTGGTCACGGAAGGCCTTTCCAGTGAGGCCCTCAAGCAGAGCTCTGAGGGTGGCCTTCTGGAGGAGCAGTATATGTCCAAGTGCTGGTCGAAGGAACAGCAAAGAGGCCAGTGAGGCTGAAGCAGAGTGAGGGAGGATAAGAGAGCAGGAACTCGGGTTGTATCTACCACTGACCACAGGAAGGACTTTGGCTTTGATCTGAATGGCACTGGAAGGCACAGGAAAGTTCTGAGTGAAGAAATGATATCTATATTTAAAGCAGGAGTGTCCAATCTTTTGGCTTCCCTGGGCCACACTGGAAGAAGAATTGTCTTGGGCCACATATAAAACACACTAACATTAACAACAGCTGATGAGCTAAATTAAAAACAAAAATCACATAATGTTTTAAGAAAGTTTACTAATTTGTGTTGGGCTTCATTCAAAGCCATCTTGGGCCACATGCACGTTGGACAAGCTTGGTTTAAAGGATCACTCTGACTTTGGTCATGGGTAGGGACAATGCAGGGAGACCACATAAGAGTCCACCATAATAATATCAAGAGCCAAGATGAGGACACTGTCCTGCACCCCTCCCTCCATAGCCTATGAGAGCTCCCTGAAACCTATTATCTGTGCATGTTCTGCAAAATCGCCTGCCCCAAACAATTCCATTTCCTGACCTCCTCTTACACTGCCCAAACTGGGAAAACAAGGTCAAAAATAAATGACAGTGGTTCAGCTTCAGGCCCACAGGAAGTGAATAACTCATTTACATTTAAGAGGGGACTGACTGAGAAGCCCCTATGAATTTAAATAAAAGGAGTAGTGACTGGGGCTAGAAGACATAGGGAGGACAGCGGCAGAAGCTCTGGGAAAGTCATCACCCTTTCTCTTCTCCCTTTGCAAGGTTGACTCCACCAAATTGGCACTGTGGGAAGATTAGCAGCAGTGAGGTGGGTCATTAGAACATTTTGGGATCCTAAGTCCCCAGGGGGAAACAAAATCAAGTTGAGTGTGAGTTAGATTTACCCAAAACCACACAGCATTGTGCCTACAACCCAGTCCTTGTTCTCCGTGAGTCTAGTACATGTCAACTACATGAAGATCAATATCCCTGCTCCCTTCCAGTTTATAATTCAATCATCGGAATTGCAGTAAAAATTATGAACAGAGGCTGGGTGCAGTGGCTCATGCCTGTAATCCCAGCACTTTGGGAGGCCGAGGCAGGTGGATCACGAGGTCAGGAGATCAAGACCATCCTGGCTAACACGGTGAAACCCCATCTCTACTAAAAATACAAAAAAGTAGCTGGGCGTGGTGGAGGGGCGCCGGTAGTCCCAGCTGCTGGGGAGGCTGAGGCAGGAGAATGGCGTGAACCCGGGAGGTGGAGCTTGCAGTGAGCCGAGATGGCGCCACTGCACTCCAGCCTGGGCGACAGAGTGAGACTCCATCTCAAAAAAAAAAAAAAAGAATTATTAACAGAAAATTAAATGTGAGCAGCGGCATTACTTCTCAAAATTCTGAGACCTACAATAAAAAACATCATGATCCAGTATACAAAGATATAAAAGAAGGAGCATGTAATGTGTGTGTACTCCAAAATCATAGAAGGGCTCATTAATTATTGCAAGGGATCCTCTCTCTAATCCACGGGTACAGTTACCATCTCAGACCAAATAATGTCTCATCATAAACACAGTACTTCTTCATTGCTAGTATGACTAACATAAATATGGGTCTCAAATCCTTTTCTCACTGTGAATTCAATCAACAGATACCAAAATTATAATATTAGGATGTAGTTTAAGCTACTCAGCTAATAAAATGATCCTGGTTTCTTACCAGAGCCTAATAGATAGAAGCTCACATATGCATTATTTGTTTTGGAAGCACTGGCAGGGTTTCATTTGAGAAAAAAATGGGAGCTTTAAAAAATTACTAAATACTACCAATTTTACTTCTTTCCCATAAGAGACTGAATCCAAGTTGGCAAATACAGTCAGGTCCTCTATAATGTTTAAACTTTAAGGCAATATGAATTTTCACTCGCGTCCGTGTGAAGAGACCACCAAACAGGCTTCGTGTGAGCAATAAAGCTTTTTAATCACCTGGATGCAGGCGGGCTGAGTCCGAAAAGAAAGTCAGCAAAGGGAGATAGGGATGGGGCCATTTCATAAGATTTGGGTAGGTAAAGGGTAAAGGGGGTTTGTTCTCTGGTGGGCAGGGGTGGGGCGTCACAGGGTGCTCAGCGGGGGAGCTTTTGAGCCAGAATGAGCCAGGAGAAGGAATTTCACAAGGTAATGTCATCAGTTAAGGCAGGAACAGGCCATTTTCAGTTCTTTTGTGGTGGAATGTCATCAGTTAAGGCAGGAACCAACCATCTGGATGTATATGTGCAGGTCACAGGGGATATGATGGCTTAGCTTGGGCTCAGAGGCCTGACATTCCTGTCTTCTTATATTAATAAGAAAAATAAAACAAAATAGTGGTAAAGTGTTGGGGTGGTGAAAATTTTTGGGGGGTGGTATGGAGAGAGAATGGGTGATGTTTCTCAGGGCTGCTTCAAGTGGGATTAGGGGCGGCGTGGGAACCTAAAGTGGGAGAGATTAAGCTGAAGGAAGATTTTGTGGTAAGGGGTGATATTGTGGGGTTGTTAGAAGAAACAATTGTCCTATATAAGTATTGGTGATGGCCTGGATACAATTTTGTATGAATTGAAAAAAGAACGGAATAAGACAAGGAGAAAAACAGGTATTAAAGGACTAAGAATTGGGAGGACCCAGGACATCCAATTAGAGAGTGCCTAAGGAGGTTCAGCATAGCCCTGCCAGCAAAGATGATTTATTTACTTTAAGAGTTGAGAGTGGCGGTTTGGGGATAGCACCAGGAGATATCAGCTGTGGTGGCTTGGAGAAACAGTGTAAACCGGCAGTGTAAACAAGAGCGGGCATGTATGAGTAGTTGAGAATGGTGAATAGGAGTATGACTAGACAGAAGATAGTAGGGATGACAAGTTTTTGGGGGCGCAGTCCAAGTTGGTCTGGTGTCTGGAATGAGACTGGGGCCTAATAAAAAGGAGCATCTATACAGGAGCTCAAATGGGCTGTATTTTGTCGCATTCCGAAGACAGGCCCGAATTCTGAGAAGGGCAAGTGGTAAAAGTATTATCCAGTCCTTTTTAAGTTGGTGGCTGAGCTTGGTGAGGTGTGTTTTTAAAAGACCAGTAGTCCGTTCTACCTTTCCTGAAGATTGAGGATGGTAAGGGATATAAATGTTTCACTGAATACCAAGAGCCCGAAAAACTGCTTGGCTGATTTGACTAATAAAGGCCGGTCCTCTATTGAACCGTATAGAGGTGGGAAGGCCAAACCAAGGAATTATGTCTGACAGAAGGGAAGATATGACCGTCGTGGCCTTCTCAGACCCTGTGGGAAAGGCCTCTACCTATCCAGTGAAAGTGTCTACCCAGACCAAGAAGTATTTTAGTTTCCTGACTCGGGGCATGTGAGTAAAGCTAATTTGCCAGTCCTGGGCAGGAGCAAAACCCCGAGCTTGATGTGTAGGGAAGGGAGGGGGCATGAGAAATTCCTGAGGAGTAGTAGAATAGCAGATGGAACACTGAGAAGTGATTTCCTTGAGGACAGATTTCCACGATGGAAAGGAAATGTTCTAAGAGGCAGGCTAGCGGCTTGTAACCTACATGGAAGAGGTTATGAAATGATGACAGAATAGAATGGGCCTGTGAGGCTGGAAGGAGATATTTTCCTTGGTCTAAGAACCATTTGCTTTGTGTGGGAAGAGATTGATAGGTGGAAGTTTCAGTGGGGGAGTAGGTGGGAGTGACCAATGCGAAGAAGAAAAACTGACCCTGAGGGACAGAAGTTGGAACACTAGTTGCTTTTTTAGCTAACTTATCAGCATAAGCATTGTCCTGAGCGATGGGATATGATACCTTTTTGATGGCCCTTGCAGTGAATGACTCCAGCTTCCTTTGGAAGTAAAGCGGCTTTGAGAAGCGTTTTTATTAAAGAAGCATTAATGATAGAGGACCCTTGTGTAGTGAGGAAACCTCTTGCATAGTGGTGCAGGATATGGAAGGCATATTTAGAGTCAGTATAAATATTGATGTGTAGTCCCTTTGCAAGAGCAAGGGCTTGACTTCAGGCAATGAGTTCGGCTTGCTGAGCGGTAGTGGAGGGGGGCAGAGTGGTAGCCTCAATGATAGATGTGGAAGATACTATAGCATAGCCTGCCTTTGCTGGTGAGTGGCAATTAGGACTGGTGGAACTGCCATCAGTAAACCAAGTGTTCAGGGTGAGGAACAGGAAAGAAGGAAATATGCGGAAATGGGGTGAATGCCCGGTGGATCAGAGAGATAGTCATGGGGGTCAGGTGTGGTATCAGGAATAATGTGGGAGGCCGGATTGAAGTCTGGGCCAGGAACAATGGTAATTGTGGGAGACGCAACAAAGAGTGAGTATAGCTGGAGGAGCCGGGGAGCAGAAAGTATATGTGTCAGGTGTGAGGAAGAAAATAGATTTTGGAAGTTATGAGAGCTGTAGAGAGTGAGTTGAGCATAGTTTGTGATTTTGAGGGCCTCTAAAAGTATTAGGGCGGCGGCAGCCACTGCACGGAGACATGATGGCTAGGCTAAAACAGTAAGGTCAAGTTGTTTGGACAAAAAGGCTACAGGACGCGATCCTGGTCCTTGTGTAAGAATTCTGACTGCACAGCCCTGCACTTCGGCTGTGTGTAATGAAAAGGGTTGGGATGAGTCAGGGAGAGCTAGGGTGGGGGGCAGTCTCTAAAGCTGTCTTGAAGGAATGGAAAGAGGAGTGGGGAAAGGATTTAGGATCTATGGGGTCAGCTAGGTTTCCTTTTGTGAGTTTATATAATGGCTTTGTTAGGATGGCGAAACCAGGTATCCAAAGTCGAAAGTATCCAACCATGCCTAGGAAGGAAAGGAGTTGTTTTGTAGAAGGTGTTGGGGTTTGAGAGATCAGTCAGACACGATTGGCAGGGAGAGCACGTGTGTTTTTATGAAGAATTATGACAAGATAGGTAACAGATGAGGAAGAAATTTGGGTTTGACTGAAGTAATGGGGGCTGTCTGTGAAGCCTTGAGGCAGTACAGAGCCAGGATGAGCCAGAAGGAGGAATTTCACAAGGTAATGTCATCAGTTAAGGCAGGAACCAGCCATCTGGATGTGTAAGTGTAGGTCACAGAGGATATGATGGCTTAGCTTGGGCTCAGAGGCCTGACACCAATCTTTTCAGACTTAGCATTTGCTAAGTCACAAACTTTTTATTATACATAAAAAGTTCAAAAGTAACTCTAGGCCGGGCACGGTGGCTCATGCCTGTATTCCCAGCACTTGGGGAGGCCGAGGCGGGTGGATCACCCAAAGTCAGGAGTTCGAGACCAGCCTGGCCAACATGGCAAAACCTCGTCTTTACTAAAAACATTAAAAATTAGCTGGGCGTGGTGGCACATGCCTGTAATCCCTGCTACTCAGGAGGCTGAGGCAGGAGAATTGCTTGAACCCAGGAAGCGGAGGAGGTTGCAGTCAGCTGAGATCCCACCATTGCACTCTGGCCTGGAGCAAGACTCCATCTCAAAAAAAAAAAGAAGTAACTCTAATAGAACATCCAGTGTCCAGATATTAGCTTCTAATACCATTCTAAAGCAAAATAATCACAGTGCCTTGGAGAAATGGATCATTCCAAGGTTGGGACATGGAAAATACAAAATAAGCCTGAGCATTCTCTGATGCCAGAAATCAAGAAATGCATTAAAAAAGAAAAAGAGTCCGGGCATGATAGCTCACACCTGTAATCCCAGCACTTTGGGAGGCCGAGGCGGGCAGATCACTTGAGGCCAGGAGTTTGAGACCAGCCTGGCCAACATGGAAAACCCCGTCTCTACTAAAAAATACAAAAAGTAGCCAAGTGTGGTGCTACGTACCTGTAATCCCAGCTACTTGGTAGGCTGAGGCACAAGAATCGCTTGAGCCTGGGAGGCGGAGGGTGCAGTGAGCCGAGATCGTGCCACTGCACTCCAGCCTGGGCGACAAAGACTCCGTCTCAAAAAAAAAAAAAAAAAAAAAAGAAGGAAAAAGAAAAAGCAAGTGTATGTCAAAGTGGCACAGGCGCCAACCTGAAAAAGGTCCCAGTGGTGAAAGCCAGAACAATTTGAGCAGCAAATTAAATACTGATAATATTGGATTATAACCCATATAACAAAACAAATATCCATGAGCCCATACTGATACAAATAACTGAATCAATGAACAGGAGAGAAGGGTCAACTCTTCCCTACAGAAGGGAATTTTAATTAAAAAATGTAGAAGGAAGAAAATAGGGGTTTTGTTTAACCATTAGGAAAAAAAACCCGCTAAACAACATGTTCCACAAATGGATGCTTAAATTAATGAATAAAAGTTTAAGGAAAAATGGCAGTGCAGGTTTCTCTCCCAAGATCTCAAATACAAAGGGAATCTGGCAAACAGATTAACATCATAGGTAATAAGAAGTATCGGCTAGGGCACAGTGGCTCACGCCTGTAATCCCAGCACTTTGGGAGGCCAAGGCAGGAGGATCACTAGAGGTCAGGAGTTCGAGACCAGCCTGGCCAACATGAAACCTGTCTCTACTAAAAATACAAAAAATTATCTGGGCATGGTGGCAGGCGCCTATAATCCCAGCTACTCAGGAGGCTGAGGCAGGAGAATCGCTAGAACCTGGGAGGCAAAGGTTGCAATGAGCTGAGATCGTGCCACTGCACTCCAGTCTGGGCAATAAAGCAAGACTCAGTCTCAAAAAAAAGTATTGACATCATGTACCCAATATGACATACTGAGATGGAAACTTTACTTCTGTGACATTTTTCCCCAAAATGCAGAACATTCATCTAATCATGACACTAAACATCAAGCAAACACAAATTGAGGGGCATTCTACAAATTAACTGACCGGGTCTTCTTCACTAGTGTCAAGGTCCATGAAAAAACAATGAAAGGCTGAGGAACTGTCACAGATCAGAGAAAATTAAGGATATTTAGCAGTTAAATGCAAAGTGAGATCATCGATTGGATCCTGGGCAGAAAAAGGACAGTGGAAAGACAAGTGAAATCCAAATAAAGTCTGTAGTTTAGTTCATTGTATTATAGTAGCATGCCCATGTTATTAGTTTTGGCCCTTGTTATGCATGATATTATGGGAACTCTCTGTACTATTTTTTGCAAATTTTCAGTAACTCTCAAATTATTTCACAATTAAAAGTTATTATAAAATAAATAATAAAATAACCAACATCTTTCAATGTTTATAATGGAAGGGTAATGTTAGACTTAACATGCCATCTTTGTCGTTGAAACCTTTCTCATCAAGATCTCATCAAGATCTATACAATCCAGTCAAAGCTGTACTCTGAAAGCACTGTTTTGTAAAGAATATCAATAAAAAACATCTCTTCCTTACTACTCTGGTGTATTTATTTATGACTAGCTGACATTCAAATGATAAGAGAGCTGTAAGATCCTCCTAAAAACCAAGCTTTAGGGGATATCTCTAGGACTGAGAAGGGAGTAAGAGCACTCAACTATCCACAGAAAATTACAAAAGGGAGTTCAATAATTCTTTAGCAAACCATCCAAAGCTTTAAAGGGATTGACCAATAATTTGTCATTTACCTATTCCCAATTGTCATTGACCAATTCCTATATTGGTCAACCCCTTTAAAATATTAACATCAACAAATGTTTCCTCCACCTATAGTAACTTCTGTGCTCAGTGGGTTTTTATCCTTCCAATATCAACTTTAATTTCATACATTTGGAGAAAGGCCAAGAGTTTTTACCAACCCACACTTAACACACTATGGGACCCAGAATCAGTTTGCACCAGGGCATCATTTTCTGAAAAACCACTTTGAACTGTCAGTTTTAAACTGCATACCCACTTTCAAATGAAACTGCGAAAGGCTAAAAAACTCAGTCGTCTCGTTTGAACGGTTACCGATTTTCTAACAAATATATACACAACGCCCACCAACCTTTCCAGACACACACTCTCAGCGAAACTGGTTTTACAATTTACTCACTCAGCTTAATAGAGCTCGGTCTTAACCAAAGGCTCAGGATCTCAGGATGCGTGCGCTCGGAGGCAGCGCTTTAACAATTAAGGATGTAAATGTTGGGATGAGTCACCCGGACCTTCCAAACAAACTCTAAAGCAGCAGTTTCCACTTAACAAGACCACCAAGCATGTGCACGGTGCGTTCCTAAATCCTACCCAGTTCCTCCACAGGCTGCCTCCTTGCCGCGTCTCTCAATCTCAGTGGGAGTGGCGGGCACTGCCTCTTCCCTCCTGCGCGCCCGGAACCTTTTGAGTGGGCACAGCACGCAGCCCGCGCGCGGCACAACCCCTTCCCCCAACCACACCCGGCGCGCCCGAGCGCTCCCCTCGCGCGGCGGCCGGCGTGGGAGGCGCTGCGGCTGGAGGTCACGATGGGAGCCGGCGGGTGGCCGCCTGGGGAGACCCGGACATCCAGGGGACGAGCTCAGGCAGCGCTGACACGAACTTCCTAAGCCGCGCTTCGGGCTGTGGACCGCCAGAGCTGAACGCAGTGGCCCCTCCCCAGCGCCCCGGGTTTCCCCAGGTCGGGGTTCGCGGGCGGGGGTGAGGCGTGGCCCCGACTGCCGGGCCGCGATAAGCGCCCTGCGACCCGGCTGAAAGCGCACACGTGTCCTGCCGCGCTGAGCCGCCAGCAGGACTGGTACCACCGCCCTCCCTCGGGGCTAGGGTCACCCTGCCGTGACACGCAGGGACAAGCCAAACACTCCCGCCTCCGGGATCGAACGGAATGAACCAGAGTGATTAACTACGAGAATCACCAGGCGCTCATTGGGCTGATCAGTACCTCGTCTGACCTAGCTGGGTTTGGTCGCCGTCACTGGCCGGAGCGCCGAAGCACCGGGGACGCTGACGCACAGGTTGCCCAGTCACAAGCGCTGCTCGCACCCAGAGCAAGTTAAATGGGTGGTTTCTGGTGAATGGGATTCTGAGAAAGTGGATGCTTGCGCCCCAGGGCCTAAAAAAATCAGGCACTGAATCTAACCCAAGGAAGGAAAGGGGAGAAACTTACTGAATGAAAATATTACCATAGTTTAAATGTTATTCTTTACACTCCTGTGACTGACATACTTCTGTGCAATATTCCGATGGTGTGGAAAGGCTAGAAAGTGATTGCGCATGTTCAGGAAACGGGCCATCAGGCTTTGTGAGTGTAGCCATCCCAACATCTACCTGCTGCATCTACCCTAGGAAATTAGTACCTGCATGCAGATATTTTCTGGTTTGCATTTACAAACAAAAATCATAGTATCATTTAAGTTGTTTAAATCAACACTAGGAATAACTATTAATGGTTCACCCAATGCAGGAAAGTTTTAGCTAGGAAGCCTAGATAAGAAAATTGACTATACATAATTTTTTAAAAAGAATTTTAAATATACCATACCGCATGCTTTTTAAAAGAATTTTAAGGTATATATTCATGATGCGCCCAAACATTTGGGTAAAATTATTCTTTTGAATTAATTTCTGTCAGTTTCAAGACCCTTAAAGGCCCATATAGAAATACATGTTAGTCATACTTCATTTTAAGACAAAATTAAGGCCAGCACGGTGGCTCATGCCTGTAATCCCAGCACTTTGGGAGGCTGACGCAGGCAGATCACTTGAGGCCAGGAGTTCGAGACCAGCCTGGCCAACATGGTGAAACCCTGCCTCTACTAAAAATACAAAAGTTAGCTGGGTGTGGTGGCGAGGCTGTAATCCCAGCTACTCGCGAGGCTAAGGAACAAGAAGCGCTTGAACACAGGAGGCAGAGGTTGCAAATGACCCGAGATCCCACCACTGCACTCCAGCCTGGGCCACAGAGTGAGACTCTGTCTCAAGAAAAAAAAAAAAATTAAGATAAAGTTTTCAGACCTGGCCGTTAACGACTGTTTGCAAAAACTGAAAAATCTCCGAAAAATAAATTTTATTTTAATTTTCTTTTTAGCTCACCCAGATAAGTGAAAAGAATAAAATTTTATGATACCAGAAAAAATGAAAACATTTCCAGCAAGATCTGAAGGCACTACAGGAGGAGACTGAACAAAAATGGAGAAAACACACACGAAACTGATATGAAGCACATTTTTAAAAATGGATACTTAGTTGAATATAGCATTCTGTAATTATGCAAAGTAAAAACAAATCAAAACCCTATACATAGAGGCCAGGCACGGTGGCTCACGCCTGTAATCCTAGTACTTTGGGAGGCCGAGGCAGGTGGATCACCTGATATCAGGACTTCAAGAGCAGCCTGGCCAACATGG
The DNA here is from genome assembly GCF_000001405.40 of Homo sapiens. Classification (NCBI taxonomy): domain Eukaryota; kingdom Metazoa; phylum Chordata; class Mammalia; order Primates; family Hominidae; genus Homo; species Homo sapiens. The sequence continues at coordinate 88,160,670 of NC_000004.12, forward strand.
TGAAACCCTTCTCTACTAAAAATACAAAAATTAGCCGGGCATGGTGGCTCATGCCTGTAATCCCAGCTACCCAGGAGGCTGAGGCAGGAGAATTGCTGGAGCCAGGGAGGCAGAGGCTGCAGTGAGCCAAGATCATGTCACTGCACTCTAGCCTGGGTGACAACGTGAGACTCCATCTCAAAAAAAAAAAAAAAAAAAAAAAACCTATACATAGAAAATTGCTGGGCAAGGAGTGACAGCTCACTCCTGTAATCCCAACACTTTGGGAGGCAGAGGCCAAAGAATTGCTTGAGCCCAGGAGTTCAAGACCAGCCTGGGCAACATACTGAGACCCTATCTCTACAAAAAAAAAATATTTTAAATTACACTGGGTGTGGTGGCTTACACCTGTAATCCCAGCACTTTGGGAGGAGGCCAGAGGATTGCTTGAGCCCAAGAATTCGAGACAAGCCTAGGCAACACAGGGAGCCCCTGTCTCTACAAACAATTTTTTTTTTTAATTTTTTTTTTTTTTATTATACTCTAAGTTTTAGGGTACATGTGCACATTGTGCAGGTTAGTTACATATGTATACATGTGCCATGCTGGTGCGCTGCACCCACTAACGTGTCATCTAGCATTAGGTATATCTCCCAATGCTATCCCTCCCCCCTCCCCCGACCCCACCACAGTCCCCAGAGTGTGATATTCCCCTTCCTGTGTCCAAGTGATCTCATTGTTCAATTCCCACCTATGAGTGAGAATATGCGGTGTTTGGTTTTTTGTTCTTGCGATAGTTTACTGAGAATGATGGTTTCCAATTTCATCCATGTCCCTACAAAGGACATGAACTCATCATTTTTTATGGCTGCATAGTATTCCATGGTGTATATGTGCCACATTTTCTTAATCCAGTCTATCATTGTTGGACATTTGGGTTGGTTCCAAGTCTTTGCTATTGTGAATAGTGCCGCAATAAACATACGTGTGCATGTGTCTTTATAGCAGCATGATTTATAGTCCTTTGGGTATATACCCAGTAATGGGATGGCTGGGTCAAATGGTATTTCTAGTTCTAGATCCCTGAGGAATCGCCACACCGACTTCCACAATGGTTGAACTAGTTTACAGTCCCACCAACAGTGTAAAAGTGTTCCTATTTCTCCACATCCTCTCCAGCACCTGTTGTTTCCTGACTTTTTAATGATTGCCATTCTAACTGGTGTGAGATGATATCTCATAGTGGTTTTGATTTGCATTTCTCTGATGGCCAGTGATGATGAGCATTTCTTCATGTGTTTTTTGGCTGCATAAATGTCTTCTTTTGAGAAGTGTCTGTTCATGTCCTTCGCCCACTTTTTGATGGGGTTGTTTGTTTTTTTCTTGTAAATTTGTACAAACAATTTTTTAAAAATTAGCTGGATGTGATGGCACATGCCTGTGGACCTAGCTATTTGGGGGGCTGAGGTGGAAGGATTGCTTGAGCCCCGGGGTTCAAGGCTGCAGCGAGCCATGATCAGAGTGAGACCCCACTCTAAAGAAAAAGAGAAAGAAAGAAAATAGCAGGAAAGTGTTCATTTGTTCTGGGTAGTAACATGGAATGTCTTTTATCTTGTATTTTAGTGTAATTTTCTAAATTTTATGTAACAAATTTAGAAAATTATAAATTTTATAATGAAAAATGGATTTTAAAAGTAAAATAAACTGATAAAATATACATATAAAGACACATGACAATAGAGTCCTCACTTGAAATAGGACTAAAACTAAAAAAAAGTTTCCTTAATTTTAGTCTAATTTTAAAAATATTTTAGATTGTGATGTTTCATATTTATAGGTCGGTTTATTTGCTAACTAAAGTTACATTGGGAGGCAGTGGTAAATCAAATAAAAATTCAAAATAAAGTTTTATTAGTTCCTAACCTCATCCTAATATTTTATCAAATTCTATTTGATAAGTTCAGATTAAAGCCAGCATTTTATAAATGTATTGCACTGTATAGAAATGAGTCATTTTAACTTGTAAGTTAGCATTGTTTTTGGAGCTAGCCATAGAATTTTAGAGAAAAAGGACCTTCCTCATTAGGTCAGATGTTAGATGACTTTCCTCATTTTACAGATAAGTCACCAGTGCAAAGGAGACTGATTTGCACAAGGTTAAAGGTTAAGTGACTCACAGCCTTCCAAGCCATTGCCCTCTGCCCTCCACCACAGGACCTTTCTTTTATTTTACCAGGCAAGAGTCACTGCCCAGTATTTATAAGGCCCCATATTGAGACTCCTGCTGAATGCCTGTGCACCAGTTGCAAAGAGCTGGTAAGGCCCCAGTATGCTACATTTCTTAGTGCTTACTCCAAAGGTGAACTCCAGAATTGTCAATTTTCCCTGGCAAGGTCAGGTTTCAGACAGGATTCACCATGGGCCTGGGGACATTTGGGTTACATATATAACAGATGTATTCAGTCCGAGTATATCTATTTTCATTACCACTCCAAGTTAAGAAAATAACAGTGGAAGAGAGGCTATGTGCACAGTATTCCCCCACAGCCCAGCTCACAGCTATCAGGGCCTTTGACTAATATGGCAAGAGAAAGTTCAGTCTATAATGGTGCAAACAGTTATTGTAAATAAAATAATGGAAACAGTTTAAAACTCTTCCTAAAGATTTCAGTATAAAAGGAAGGTGAGAGAAAGGAATATAGCTAGAGGCTATCTTAGGGTTCAGAGAAAATATTCATTTGGTTTGAATTAGACAGACTAGAACATGTGTGCATGCCAAGAGGACAAGCCATAAAGAAAGAAAGGGTTATTGGTAGTGTCAGGTCCCTTAGGAAGCATAATGAAATGGGATCCAGAGGAATTAGAATTAGAAAAGAAAAGGAAACTTAAGAATCCCTCACGCTCTTCTTTTCCAAATTGGGCCAGGCAGAATGGCTCCTGCAAAGAAAAGCGGCGAGAAGAAGAAGGGCTATTCTGCCATAAACGAGGTAGTGACCCAAGAATAAGCCATCAGCATTCACAAGCGCATTCATAGAGTGGGCTTCAAGAAGTGTGTCCCTGGGGCACTCAGAGAGATCCGGAAATTTGCCATGAAGGAGATGGGAACTCCAGATGTGTGTGTTAATACCAGGTTCAACAAAGCTGTCTGGGCCAAAGG